>NC_000023.11:148111969-148414999 GCF_000001405.40 Homo sapiens | reverse complement strand
TTCTTATTCATTTCTATAGAGCAGAGACTTGAGGATTGCAAACTGGTTGGAAGAATGGGTTAGAAAACTTGTCTTGAAGTTGTATTTGCCAAGCAAATATATGTTTTTTTTTTTTTCCTGAGAGACGGTCTCACTCTGTTGCCCAGGCTGGAATGCAGTGACCCAATCATGGTTCACTACAGCCCCAACCTCCTGGGCTCAAGCAATCTTCCTACCTCAACCTCCCAAGTAGCTGGAACTACAGGCATGCACCATTACACTTGGCTAATTTTTACATTTTTTGTAGAGATGGGGTCTTGCTATGTTGACTAGGTTGGTCTCAAACTCCTGAGCTCAAGCGATCCTCCCACCTCAGCCTGCCAAGGTGTTGGGATTACAGGCGTGAGCCACTGCACTTGACCAAGCCCATAGTTTTTACCTAGAGCATATGTTTACTTGAAGTAGCTTCAGAGTGGGGGAAAGATATGGAGATTAAGGAGGGTGGGGGGTGCTAAAAATCTTGTCCAAACTACTCATTGGTACCTCTACTGCTCCCAGAAACTTTCATCCTTTCAGTTTGGCCCTTGGTAGCATGCCACACGTATGTGTGAATGTGCTGGCTTACACAGAGTGTCAGTAAAATGCCAAATGCCAGGGTATTTTGTATGTTAAAACTAAATTATACAAATGATCATTTGCTAAATCATCATGATTTCAATAGATCAATTGTGCTAAGGACATTCTGATGAAAGAGTAAATTCAAGAGGCAAGATATTGTCAATCAAAATTAATTAAGAAATTATGTATCAATCAATAATGTTCTAAAAAGTATTGTAATGACCTCTGTTATTCTGTTTAAGCATAAACAAGATAATCAACCATGTTACCTATCTGGAGATTAGATTTTTTCCAATTAACTTGACTTAATTAACTCTCTAAGGCACTGAACTTCAGATGCCTCAGATACTGTACTTTAAGATTATTAGAATTGGAGGGCTCACTGGGTTTACTGTTATTTTAATGTTATAAATATATTTACTCATTAGACAAATGGAATTCAAAATTTAAATTCATGTGTGTGGTGGGGAGTGAGGAGTTATAGAATTTTTTTAAAATGAGCCCAATATAGACAACTGAAATAAATTAAAATGAAAGACTCTTGAGAACAGTCTTTGTTCCCTCATTAAGGGCTATAGGAAAGGAAAAGTCAGTCAATTTCCGGTAATCACACGGGGGCTATTTCAACTAGCCAGTTTTAATCATTCCTCTATATATTGCCTTTGCTTCCGATCTCATAGAGAGAATGTGAATAGATTGGAAAATCTTCAACTTCCTCTATATACCCTCATCTGCCTTAGCATCACTTTTGCCTGCCTCCCATAGGATGCATAGTTCCATCTTTTATTTAAAGTGAACCTCTTTACCTCTGGCTCCCATCCCAATTGCCTCTGTAGAAAACTCACTCTATTTGTCTCTCCTGTATTCTCAGCCCCTTTCTCTCCACTAGTTGCCTCTCCTTAGTAAATACAACGGCCTAAGTCTCCTGCATTGTTGAGTGAATAAACAATATCCTCCTTTAACCCTCCAACTCTAACTTTATCTTTCTACTTCTGGAAAGATTTCTGTATACTCCTTGCATCCCCTTTCTCAATATCCAGTCATTACTCAACTGACTAGAGTCTGACTTCTTCCTCACTGCACCACTGACACTGCTCTTATGGAAATCTTAATGACCTCTTAACCCAAGGGTCATGCTCAGTCCTTGTCTTTTTTTATCGAGGTAAAATTCACATTAACATAAAATTAACATTTTAAAGTGTATAATTCAATGACATTTAGTACATTCACTTGTTGTGCAATGATCACCTCTAGTCCTAAAATATTGCCATCACCCCAAAAGGAGACCCTGTTCTCATTAATCAGGGTCTCTCCCCATTTCCCCTCAATCCCCTCAGCCCCTAGCAATTATTAATCTGCTTTCCGTCTCTATGGATTTGCTTTTTCTAGACATCTCATCAAAGTGGGATTATACAATGTGTGGTCTTTTGTAACTGGCTTCCTTTATTTAGCATACTTTTTATCCATGTTGTCGCACGTATCAGTACTTTATTCCTTTTGAAGGTTGAATAATATTGCATTATATGGATTTACCACACTTTGCTTATCCATTCATCAGTTGATGGGCATTTAGGTTGCTTCCACCTTGTGGTTAGTTCTCATCTGATTTGACCTCTCAGAGGCATGTGACATTGCAGACCTCTATCATAAATCCTTTCTTTCCTTCACTACTGAAATGGACCACTATTCCAACTTCTCTGACCACCACCCTTACATTCTCTCTTTCATGGGCTCCTTCAAAGTAGGGATTCCAAAGAGCCCAGCCTTGATCTGGTTTTCTCATTCTCTGCACTCCACTTAGTTGAGTGAGCATACCTACTCCATAGTACCAATTACTAATGGCCCCTATGATGACTTTGTCTGCTTCTAGTACAGATCAAAATGTACTATTCCCTGGATGTGAAGAAAAATGAAACAGGAGTATTTGGAACCACAGTATGCAAACTATGTTTGGGATAGCTGCGGAACAGTTTATGCTGACTCTCAATCATTCACCACCCAGGAAAAGTCAGATTATGAGAAAGAGAATGATGTGGAACCAACTGCTTTTCAAAATACCCTCCCCTCCACTGCCCCATTTTCTACTCTTCAAACCACACATACACACTATCAATTCAGTGGGTAAAGAAGTCAAAGCATTTATGTCATGTGGGCAGAACAATTGGTTGACTCACTTTTTCATTTCCCAATCTATTGCTTTGTTGTCAGACACAGTGTCAGTGCAAAGTTTTAGCAGCAGGGCGAAGGTTCATTTCAGCAATTCATGCTTTTGTTATTTTATTTTTACTCCTCAAACTGACTCACCTTTGGCTAAAGGAAATATACAATCGGCAAATATTGACTCAAAGGACTATGCAATTTACATCTTAATGCAGAGTAATAAGTCTCATCGGAATCCTCTTGGGTACTACCTATCCTGGCACATTTTTGCCGTTTGCTTTCAGTTTAACACCGTTTTTACTTTGTGATTTTAACAAATAGCAAAGATCAATGCTTTACATTTCCAATGGTAAAGCTAGACACTGTAATATCAACAGTTTCTCTTTAGTTTCCAGTCCTTCCTCAGGGATTGTAAAGGACAGGAGTCATTAGGAGACTGTCAGTGTCTCAAGAGAAGTGTTTCTCTTCTTAGTAAAACTAACTGGAAATCATTCATTAAAACTGTGGTAAGCATTTATTATCTACCATGTGTTCCCATAGCCTTCTTGACATTCATACCTAGGACTGCAATCAACATATTGAATAGAAATTCTGTTAACTTTTATATTTCTCTACTTTCCACCATGGACTTTTTGGGGCAAGGACCATGTCTTGTTGTTTAGTGTGTCTCCTATACCTGTATAAGAATAAATTTTCATTTATTCATTCATTCAAGTAGTCAACAATATTACTGAGTGCCTACCATGTGTCCAGGATTGTTTTATATACTAGGTATTCAACAATGAATAAAACAGACAACAATCTTTTTTATATACTAGGTATTCAACAATGAATAAAACAGACAACAATCCCTGATTCTCTTTAGTGTTTGTATTCTCTGGGTGAGCAGCAGAGGGGTAGACAATAAACAAGAAAGTAAAATACACAGTATGTTAAATGATGACAAAGTTCTATGGATAAAAACAAAATAGGTGAGAGGTAGGGTGTGGAGAATAGGGCAGTTGGGGAAGGTCTTACTGAGAAGGTGATATTTGAGCAAGGAGCCGAAGGAGGGGCAAGAGCAAGCCATGTGGATATCTGTGAGAAGACTATTTCAGGCAAAAGGAATAAGTTTAGGGGGTCTTATAGGTGGCTGTAGAAATTTGACTTTTACACGAAAATAAATAGAAAGCTATTGGAAAGCTCTAAAGAGGACAATGACAGGAGCTGACTTGTATTCTAACATAATTACTCAGTCTGCTGTGAAGAAAATAGACTGTAGAGGGCAAGAGTAGAGGTAGAGAAATCACATAGGAGGCTACTGTAGAGAACATTCAATCAAGAAATGATGGTGGCTTGAACCAAGATGGGATCAGTAGATGTTAGGAGAAATTATTCTGTTCTGGATAAATTTTGAAGGTAAAGCTGAAAGGACTTGCTAGAGGATAGCATGTAGGGTGAAAAAAAAGAGAGAGTAGTGAAGCATGGCTTGAGATTTTTTGACCGGGAAAATGGGAGGTTAGAGTTGCCATTTACTGATCTAGAGAACCCTCTAGAAGGAGCATATTTGGGGACTGAAGAATGAGGAGATCAGTTTGGGTTATGTGAACTTTAAGACGCCAAGTAGGGATGTTGAGTAGGCAGGTGGATGTAGGAGCCTAGAGTTCAGGGAAGAAATCTGGGCTGGGGATAGACATTTGGCAGTGATTGGCATATAGACAGTAAAGCCAGGAAATTTGGCAATAGCAACATAGGGGTGAGTGTAGACGGAGTAAAGATAAAAGGTGGAAGAAAGAGGGAAAACCAGCAAAGGAGATTGAGAAGGAATGGCTTGTGAGGGAAGAGGAAGCTCAGGAGAATGTGCTGTCCCAGACGTTTTTCAAAGAGAAGAAATTGATCAACTGAGATAAATGCTTCTGACAGGTTAGGCAACATAAGTACTAGGAGTCAATCATCAGGTTTAACAAAGTAGAGGTCATAGGTAACTTTGACAAAAGCCATACTGGTGGAAGGGAATGTTTGATATGAACAGGTTCCAGAGAGAATGAAAGGAGATAAAATGACCATTTAGGGGGAGACAAAGTAAAGAAAATCAATACAGGCAATTTTTTAAAGGAGTTTTTACTCTATAAAGGGGCAAAGAAGTAGAGTGGTAACTAGAGAGAAATGTGGGGTCAAGAGCATTTTTTCTTGATTGGGATACATTATGTGTATACATTTGTGAAAATGATCTAGTAGAGAAAATAACATTGATGACTCAGGAGACAGATAGGAGAATGATTAGGACAAGGTCCTTGACTAGTAGATGAGATGGAAGGAGTGTAGTGCAACAAGCTCCTCAGTGAATAGCTCCCAGTGAGAACTGCCTACGCTAGTTGTTTGCATCTCTAACATGGGACTAGTGGAATTCTCTAAAATGTAAACTCCATGATGGCAGGAGTGTTTATGTGGTTTGTTCTTCAATGTATTCCCAGTGCCTAAAAGATGGTTTGGCATGTATGAAAAGATCCTAACAGATATTTATTGAATGGGTGACTAACTTGCCTCTAATTACTTAACGATGAATGGCCCCAGTGCTTCAAGATAGGCTGAATAGTGCTACGGGGTTTTTTTTTGTTTTTTTGTTTTTTAACACATACATTTGTTTATTTTAATTGACAAATACAAATTGTGTATATTTATTGTGCACAACATGTTGTTTTGAAATATGCATACACTATGGAATACCCAAAATAAGCTAGTTAACACATGTATTACTTCACATATTTATTTTTTGTGGTAAGAATAGTTAAAATCTACTCTCATAGCAATTTTTAAAAGACAATACGTTGTTATTAACTATAGTCACCATGTTGTACAATAGATCCCTTGAACTTATTCCTCCTATTTAACTAAAATGTTGTATCATTTAACCAACATCTCCCCAAACTCCCATCACCCCTGCCATGTTATTAAGCTTTGACAATTAAGTGGGATGTATGCTAACATCATATTTTGATCTTCAGAAACATACCATATTTTCTAAAAATATGTTCTTACCTGTATACACAATGTAAAAGTGACAGGAAAGTAAATGTTTTGGAGGCAGGAGCAGTACCATCAATGCTATCATAAATATATCTTAAATATACCCTCAAAAACATCTTTATATTTATTTAGATCATGATAGTTTTGGAGGCTACCGGCATTACTGGGGAACAGTTAAGGAAGTGTTATGCACACATTTGTTAAGTCAAAGTTACAGCTTAAAGCTGTTGGGAGAAAGTGAATGTTGCATTCTTTGGACAAAGTGGAAATTCACCTCTTTCTAACTAAAGACAATTAGTGACAGAGAGTTTTTGACTGTTAGCATAAGGATGTGTTACAATGGCTTTTCTCTTTAATTAGTTCCAAGAGCCAGTGCCTGATATAGGACAGAACTCTCAGCACCTAAGACTCCTTTAGGAAGGTCCTGATAACAAGCTCCTTGGAGAACAAGCCTTCAAAGCATGAAAGAGGCATTCTAAATAAAATGTTTATTTAACTCAATGAATATTTTTTTCATAGTGTTCATCTTACATTTATATGTTTTGCTTCAGGTGTGGTGATACATAAATGAATAATACACTGATTCTTACCTTCAAGGATTTCATGGTCTAATAGTGGGGACCATCCAGGGAACAGATAATTAGGTAGCACTAATGGGATGATATAATACTGCTGTTAAGGATTATCTAGGAGGGACACCTAAATAAGCTGAATAGGGTATTTAAGGAAGATTTTTTTAAATATATCTTAAATATATACTCAAAAACATCTTTACATTTATTCAGATAATGATAGTTTTGGAGGCTACAGTCATTACTGGGGATCTGTATATAAATATACCCTAAAGTAAAGAGAATTCTATATTAAACCCCTGTGTACCCATATCCCAGCTTTAATAGTTACCAGCATCTTGCCAACCTCATTTCATGTACTTTCTTCTTCCCATTTTCTCCTGAAGTATTATTTCAAAGCAAATCGGACGTTATTTCATTTCATCCATACATACTTTCCTGCACATCTTTAAATTTAAAAACTTGTTTTCAACATAACTGTTATCACACTTAACACAATTAACAATAAGAAAGACTTCTTAAGGAAAGTCACATCTGAATACATGCCTGGAAGACATGCAGGAGGGAGCCAAGAGAAGGCAATGGACATGGCAGGTTGTGTTTCTGGCCAAGTGAAGGGGACTATAAGCCCTTAAAAGAGACCAGAGAGAGCCTGGCTCTTCTGGAAAACCACAGGATTAGTACAGCCTAGCTTATCAAAGGGAGAATGTAGATGGCTCTGGGCCAAGCTCTTCAGTCTTGCTGTCTTGCTTAATCTTTACATCAGTGGCACTATGAAATAGGAACCTATCATTAACCCCAAACAAGGAAAGGAGCCTTTGAGATGTTAGGTAACTGACCTATGATTCTGCAGCTCAATAAGTGGAAGAGCTGGGTTATCAAGCCTGGTCTATTGGAATACCTGGGTGCTTAACTATTGCACCATCCTACTTGCACAGACGTTTGTGATTGGCCCTATATTCAAGCGTTAATCCCTTCAATCTTGTTCTATTTAATTATCTACCATATCAATTAATGATCAATTAATTTGCTTCTTAAAGTGTTAAAAATGAATTTTGGGGGTGGAGGGGTTAGTTGGGTTTAAAGAAGTAGAAATTCACAGCAGGACACTCCTCTAGGAATCTTTTGTAGCTCAAGTAACATGAATTTTTTTTTTAATTTTTATTATTATTATACTTTTAAGTTCTAGGGTACATGTGCACAACGTGCAGGTTTGTTACATATGTACACATGTGCCATGTTGGTGTGCTGCACCCATTAACTCGTCATTTAGCATTAGGTATATCTCCTAATGCTATCCCTCCCCCCTCCCCCCTCCACAACAGTCCCTGGTGTGTGATGTTCCCCTTCCTGTGTCCATGTGTTCTCATTGTTCAATTCCCACCTATGAGTGAGAACATGCGGTGTTCGGTTTTTTGTCCTTGCAACAGTTTGCTGAGAATGATGTTTTCCAGTTTCATCCATGTCCCTACAAAGGACATGAACTCATCATTTTTGATGGCTGCATAGTATTCCATGGTGTATACGTGCCACATTTTCTTAATCCACTCTATCGTTGTTGGACATTTGGGTTGGTTCCAAGTCTTTGCTATTGTGAATAGTGCCACAATAAACATATGTGTGCATATGTCTTTATAGCAGCATAATTTATAATCCTTTGGGTATATCCCATTACTGGGTATATATCCAAAGTAACATGAATTTAACTGAGTCATCTACTGTTGCCAGATAGTAGCATACACTAATTGTAATAAATAAAAAACATCTAAAAGTTAAAAAAAAAGTCTCCTGAGTGCTGAACTTGCAAATCTACAGCAGCAAAGCAATAGTGAGCATTACAGACATAAGTACCCCCTTATTTCCTTTCTTGAGAAATTCCAGTATCTGCTGATGCAGCTATCCTAAAGTAAGAAAAGGTTAATTATTATGTTTTTATGAGAACCGAATTTTGTATTTAATTAACAGATTAAGTTATTCCCTGTTGCAAACAGGCTCTGTTCTCGATGAAACCAAATATTATGACAATTGCCAAGTTTATTAGTTTATTGTGTGAATGCAAAAAGTTACTGAACCCCCACCCCTCTTTATTAGATTCTGCCTCAAGCTGATTTTAGATATTACAATTTCCCTGCCATTTTAGTTTGGTAGTTCTGTAATTCTCATGGTACGCATTTAGTTTCAGGTTTCTCCTTTACAAAGTGATACCCCAAAGCCTGAATATCTACAACTGTTGGTTGTGTTTCTCCTGCCCCACTTCAATTATTACAGCATCAGAATCACAAGAAAGAAGGCACATCATGGTCAGCCTGCTTCATAACCCCACCATGCCTCCACAGGACATACTGGCTGAGGATGTGGGCTCTATCCCCAGACAGACATGGATTCTTTTTCTAGTCCCACCACTGACTGGCTGTGGAACTGGGGAAAAGAAAACGTGAACATGGTATAGTGGTTAAGTACCTATGCTTTCATCCAGGCTACCTTGGTTTGATACTCAGCTCAGCTCCTTGCTTAACTGTATATGTTCTGGCAAATTGCATAACATCTCCATGCCTCAATTTCCTCAGCTGCAGAATAGGGATGTTAATAATAGCATCTACCCCATGGAGTCATGGTGAGGAGGGACTGAGCGCTTGGCAAATAGACGTTAGCTTATATTAATTTCCCAATGTCCCAGATCAGAGGCAAAGGAATATTTTGTGATTGTGGAGGACCTAAAGGGCTGCAGATATCTTCTGTGCAAATTATAAAACAAATAAGAATGTGATTTACTCCACATGTACATGAGAGATGGAGCATTGCAAGTTGTTCAAACAGTGGCCACACAAGGCTAGAATGGCCACCTTGTGGAGAGGTCCACCATGACTGTTTGAGTGGGTCCTGGCCAAGTAACTAACAGCTGTACTCTCTTCAAGTTAGAGCATCTTGGTTTCCAGAAGGGCCACATACAATCAGCTTGTCTCTCTAGCCCTGGGAAACTCCTTGGGGTAGGGGGAACAGTGAGGTTAGGGGAACTGCTGAATGCAGACAAGATGTCAGCAGCCTGGTGAAAGAGTCCCTGAGTGCCAGATGGAAACAGCATTACTGCAGGATCTCTAGAACGCCTCATCATAACCTGTGGGTATTAAGAGCTTCTTGCATATATTTTGAAATTTGATTTAAAATAAAAAAGCCTGGTTTGTTAAGAGAGCAGAGGTTGGTAGCTTTGTTAACATCTAAATGCCACTTGAACATTAAAAAGATCCCAAAGGGAATTTACTTAATCCTAATGTAGGGTGAGGGGAAAGGGAAGAAATGGGGTTAGAGAAACAAAGAGAAAAAGAAAAATGATGAGTAAGGTGCAGAGGAAGGGAGTAAATAGAAATGTATAGTGCAGAAGTATGGAAAGAGCCTGGACACAGAAATGGATCCCAAAAGCCACACTGGGACACAGCTGCATAGTGTGTAGGGAAGCACCTCAACTTTAGCGCAGAAAAGCTCCTTAGATTTCACTTAGTCAAACCTGTTCATATTAGAGATGGGGAAATTGCAGGCTGCCTGCTCATGGTCATATAGAGAGTTTGTGGGACAGCTGGGTCAGGAACCCTGGCCACTTGCCTCCTTATCTGGGGCTCTGAAAATTTGTCCCTTCCTGGGTGCACGTTTTGGTTGTAAATGAGAACTGTTTTCCTCCTAGAATACTTGCATCAAACTGCAGGTATATTCATGCCACTTCCTGCCCTAGAAGTTAAGCCTTCATTGCATGTTGTGTTTTATAAGTGATATATGATTGCCTGGGTGTAGCTTGGGTTCTTTGGGAGGCCAAGAGGTGAAGGGCTCCACCAAAGCCCTAGAAATAATAGTTAAGGAGCCTTACTTACCTGAGAAAAATGAAAGTCCTGAATCTTGTACAACTTTATCAAGGCAGATTAAAAATGAAAATTGCAATTTCTCCTGAGAAAATATTGGTGTGTTCTAGCTTTATTAAAGAGTGACTTTCTCTTTCTTGATATACATGCTAATGCCATGGAGTGATTATTTGTCCCATTGATGCCCAGTGACCTGGGAGAAGAAAGAGAGAAATCTTGTAGCCTGGCAGAATTCCCTTGAGAAGCAGATGGAAGCAAGTGATTTTCAAAATTGTTCAGAATAATTTTACAATATAGACAAAAGCAAACATATACTGCTTCTGACTATAAATTCTTACACCCTCATTCCATCCATAAATACATTTCTCCTGTGAGTTTACTGACCAGCCATCTTGTCTTTGAATTCTCATCTTGCGCTAATGAACAACCCAGACCTGCACAGAATAGCCCTTTCATCTGGTCCAGGCTTTAGGCTCTTCAGCTTTAGTTCATCCTTATGAATTTCAGTACTATCTTGCAGGAAAAACAAGATCACTACCAATTTGTTTGATGTCCTTTGCGAGCAGCAATAGGACATTATTAATTCTCTCCCAAGACCTTTCCCCTCTCACCAAGGGTTATAAACAGAGTTATTCTAAACCGTTTGCTGTGTTTTGACATTCTTTTCAGAAAAACCACCCTAACCCATCCACAAGAGCAAAGGAAGACATAAAAGATAAAACTGCCAGGGTTTAAGTCAAAGATCAGTTAAAACATCCAGCACTTGTCAAAAATAATATTTAGAAAAAGAATTCCCAGAACATATTTTATGCTGATTTCCACAAGATCATAAAGGTCAAAGGAGCAAATCCCACGATGAGCATTAGGTTCAAAATGAAGAGCTAGATATCTAGTTATGTATGAATAAAATAATGTAATGCATTGAGAAGGATATTTTTCTTTTAATGAAAACATTAAAAAAAGATTTTCAAAGTTAATAGGGTTGTGGCAGGGAGTCTGCCATCAAATGATGGAATTCACTAAGCAACTTCACTGTAAGAAACTCAGCTAAAGAAATGGTTACAGCTCCTTCAATTTGTGTGTTAGTTGGTACTGAGGGATGGAGCCAGTTGGCAAGTTACGGTCCGGTGGGTCGGGTGGCGGGGCGGGGGGGGGTGGGTAACTGAAATTTGAATGTAAATAATAAGATTCTAGAGCCTGTGCTCTTAATCAAGAATGATGTGAGAAATGGGGTTCAGATGAAGCTCAGGGATGGGATGTATGGTCACTTTGAAGATATCACCCACCCTCCCCACTAACTCTGGGGATATATTGGGAAGCAGAGGTGGTAGATAGGAAAAGGGCTTCCCAGAATGATATGGTTTGGATATTGTATTAGGCTGTTCTCACGCTGCTAATAAATATATACTAAAGACTGGGTAATTTATAAAGGAAAGAGGTTTAATAGACTCACAGTTCTACATGGCTGGGGAGGCCTCACAGTCATGGTGGAAGATGATGGAAGGGCAAAGGGATGTCTTACATGGCAGCAGGCAAGAGAGCTTGTGCAGGGGAACTCCCATTTACAAAACCATCAGATCTCATGAGACTTATTCACTGCCATGGGAACAATGTGGGGGAAACTGCCCCCATGATTCAATTAACTTCACCTGGCCCCACCCTTGACACAAGAAGATTATTACAATTCAAGGTGAGATTTGGGTGGGGATACAGCCAAACCGTATCAGCTGTGTCCTCACCTAAATCCCATATTGAATTGCAAGTTCCCATAATCCCCACATGTCATGGGAGGGACCTAGTGGGAGGTAATTGAATCATGGGGGCAGTTACCTCCATGCTTCTGTTCTTATGATAGTGAGTGAGTTCTCATGAGATCTGATGGCTTTATAAGGGGCTTTTCCTTCTTTGCTTAGCACTTATCCTTCCTGTCACCATGTGAAGAAGGACAGGTTTGCTTCCCCTTTTGCCATGATTGTAAGTTTCCTGAGGTCTACCCAGCCATGCTGAAATGTGAGTCAATTAAACCTCTTTCCTTTATAAATTTCCCAGTCTTGGGTATGTTTTTATTGGCAGTGTGAGAACAGACTAATACCCAGAATTAAAAAGAGTATTTGAGTTTTTTATTTTGTCCATTGTTAGTTTCTCATTCAAGTTTCTAAACTCGGTACTAAAGATGTAGCATCGTTGAAGTGTAGTTGGTTGGAATCTCTTCCTTTAATCAAGAGATTTTTAAAAATTTATTGCTTTTTATAGGACACTCTTATGAATTGAATTGTGTCCTCCATAAAGGTATGTTAAAGTCTTAATAAAGATACATGTGAATGTAACCTTATTTGCAAGCAGGATCATTGCAGGTGTAATCAAGTTAAGATGATGTCATACTGGATTAGGCTGGTGATATGGTTTGGCTCTGTGTCTCCACCCAAATCTTATCTTGTAGCTCCCATAATTCCCACGTGTTGTGGGAGGGACCTGGTTGGAGATGACTGAATCATGGGGGTGGGTCTTACCTGTGCTGTTCTCATGACAGTGAATGGGCCTCAAGAAATCTGATGGTTTTAAAAATGGGAGTTTCCCTGCAGAAGCTCCTCTCTTTGCCTGCTGCCATCCATGTAAGATGTGACTTGCTCCTCCTTGCCCTCCACCATGATTGTGAGGCCTCCCCAGCCATGTGGAACTGTAAGTCCAATAAACCTCTTTCTTTTGTAAATTGCACAGCCTTGGGTATGTCTTTATCAGCAGTATGTAAATGGACTAATACAGTTGGATTAGTGATTGGAATGATGCTTCTACAAGCCAAGGAATGCCAAGGATTGCTGGCAACCACCAGAAGCTGTAAGAAATAATGAAGGATAGACCACCAGAGCTTTTAGAGAGAGCATGGTCCTGCCAACATTTTCAGTCCAGACTTCTAGCCTCTGGAACAATGTGACAATACATTCCTGTTGTTGTAAGCCACCAAATTTGTGGTCATTTGTTATGATAGTCCCAGGAAACTAATAAAGACAGTATTACTTTGGGTTACCTTGGAATAAAGTTACTCCTCCAAGGAACAAACTTTTCAGTTCTTCTGTCTCAGAATTGAGTACTAATAATAATCCATTCTGGATGGATACTTCCAAATGAGTAACTACACCATTTTTCAAAAACACTATGGTGAAACTTTCATTATGGTGTATTGTTTATTCATAATAAGCTATCTATAGATATCCACTGTGCAAAATGGACACTCAAGCTAACATATTTGCTATTTGCTAAATTAATTCCATCTGCCCCACTGATTTATCATTTTCACATTGCTTGGTTTCTTTTGATTCCTGGCTTCTACATTTCCCTCTGTGCTCACTTTGGAACAATATGAGAACAATTCCTGGAAGACAGTTCTCTACATGGGATCAATTGCAAAAATTAACCTTTAACCTTCTGAAGCAGATCCTTGATATCAAAGAGTTCCAAACAGCAAATTATTTCCTTTAAAAAGTTATCTCTTAATTAACATTAAGTAGATCTTCTTATTATTCCAATAGATTTGCATTTTTCATTGCTATTGATAAAAGTATGTGCTTATCTCTTTCATGCATTACAACGGAAAATTAGAAAGCAATATTTAGTATGTCACTTTACAGCCAAGAGACTGTAGAATTTTGTGACAGTAATCTGATTATCTTATCTGAAATGCATTTAAACACACACACACACACACACATACACCAGCTTATCTTTGACATTGCTGTCAAGAATCTAGTATTACTATTCAGCAAAACTTTTTGTGTTAGGAAATCAAAGCACCTGATTAACCTAATTACGTGGCTTAATCAGGGGTTTTACTGCAGATGAAAACATTGCCCCCACTCTGCCTATGAAGTGTACGTTCTTATGCAAAGCAAATGTAATATTTGAATTCTTAACTGGCGGCCTTCATAATGCATCTATAGAATTAACTCTGCAGAGAGCTGCAATCAATGAAGTTCGCCAAGGTTATACCTTATCCAACATGTGTCTTCCACCTGCTTATCTAGGAGTTTCTCTGAAACCTCCATTATTTCAGTGATTCTTCAAGGTTTGACAGCTAATGCAGAAGAATGCATACAGAAGTCTTCCATTAAATGAGAACGTGTTATAATACTAGAGAGATAAAGGAATAGTCTGGGGCATAGGTGCTCTAGTCTCGTTTTATTCACATATTGAGATGAATTTGTTTATCCTATCAGATATTTGACAGCTTGGAATCCAGAGATAACTCTTTTGCTGTGAAGGATGAGGTTCAGGAATTAGGGGGAGGGATTGGAAAGGAGGCCTTGGCCACTCCTGGATAATGATATTGAGCATAAATACGGAGGGATAAATAATAATAGATGAATAGCATCTCTGCTGAAATGGCCTACTTACCTACCAGAACTCTTCAACTTCTAACCTCACCACATGGAGCATATCTTCATTCTCTAAACTTGCATGACGAGCACTAAGCCTGATGTTACAACTACAGAGCTTTAGACCAATAATATTATGACCAAGAGCTTGGGCTTTTGCAGTGAGACAGATTTGTATTTGAATCGCATCTCCACTATTTACTGGCTGTGTAACCCAGGGCAAGTCACTTGAGCTCTATTGGATGTTCAGTTTTTCATCTGTAAAATGTGGATAATGAAACTTCCCTAATGAAGTTATTATGAGGATTAAATTACATAATGCTTAACACACTGTCTTACATATAATAAGCAATAAATAAGTATCAGGTATTATTATTACTATTACTATTATTTTTGAGACAGAGTCTCTCTCTGTCGTCCAGGCTGGAGTGCAGTGGTGTGATCTCAGCTCACTGCAACCTCCGGCTCCTGGGCTCAAGCAATTCTCCTGTCTCAGCCTCCCAAGTAGCTGCGACTACAGGCGCCTGCCACCATACCCGGCTAATTTTTGTATTTTTAGTAGAGATGGGATTTCACTGTGTGGATCAGGCTTGTCTCAAACTCCTGACCTCAGGTGATCCACCTGCCTCGGCCTCCCAAAGTGCTGGGATTACAGGCATGAGCCACCATGCCCAGCCAATATTAGGTAATATTAGTGATCCCAATCCAGGCAAATTAGCATTTGCTTCTGGTGGTCAGCCATTGAACAGTAGATCAAATAGTTGATTAATTGACCTAGTTAGGTCCCTGAGAAATCCAAAGTAACCTTATTCTATTTGTGAGCCAGTTATATCACCTTACTAATCAAACGGGGGCATTTAGTGGTTTAATTCACTACTATCCAATGTACCTGCTAGCAACTAATCAGTTAAATTATTGGGAGACAGAATGAATAGCAAGGTTTCAGTAGAACCCAACAAATACTTTTGGCTGATTATACTTAGGGAACAGGACTGTGTAGCACGACCCCCAAATTTTATGATGTTTGCATTCTTTGGCCTCCTTACCACACTTGAAGAGTGTCCTGTATGACTCTGAGAGAGTCTGGCATCCAGATGGTTGGGCTCTCTCCCCTTCTAGCACTCCTTTTCAGACCCAGAAACATTGTGAATTCTTTTTCTTATTAAAGTAAATGACAAGCTGAGACAGAAATCTCAAGAGACTCCAGGAAAGGCCCAGCTGGGGTGCCAAAGTGTTTGGTAATCAGAACCAAGGATGTCAATAGTGAGGAAGAATATGGACATCCAGAGGAAGAAAACCAGACCAGGGAAAGGTATAGGGGACAGGGACAGGGACAGTGGGATACAAGTATTTGAAGGGTTCTCAAGTGGAAGAAGGAGTAGACCAGTTCTGATTTATTCCAGTGGGACCAGTAGGTAGAAGGGCTGGAGAGACAGATTTGATAAAACTGGATTGTTCCAAAATGAAGGAACTCCCCATTGATGAAACTGTCTGAGCAGAGGCTCGATAACCAATTCTTAGGGAGACGGGGGAGAGAATTTCCTCCTTTAGAAGATAGGGATCCTTCTACCTCTAAGATTATATTACCCAATGACTTTATAACAAGCTAGAAGATCTATATTTACTATTTATTTCAGGAGGCTTCCATTAGGTTGTAACTCCCATTATGGATAATCCCATGCCAAAAAATGATAAACTAATCAAAGAAGTAACTTCAACCTGCTTTATATAAATTAGGGCATAGTTACTCATTCCAGTCTAAATTACTTTTTAAAACAAGTGAACAGTCTATTACTAGTACTGGGATTATACTGAGGGTATATGCTATTTGTAGATATGCGCAGTAGGAGGAATAAAATATGCCCTAATAAAATAACAGCTCATAAGTTTCAACATTAAAAACCCTGAGTTAATTTTTAATCCATCCTTATGAAGCCACTGAACATTTATAAGCTTTTGCCTAATGAAGATCTACAGCATAATGGCCATAGTACTCTGAGGATGGAGGGCAATGTACCTCGAAAAACACTTGAAAATCCATTTAATTATATCAGGCCCCATGACAAACACTTATGAATGTACACATCAAAAGCTAGAAGTGTGATTTGGGATCACATATTATTGGCTAAGCAGAAGAAACAACACTAAGTAAAAATCTGCTTCTCTTTCCCAGTCAACAAGACTGACAGTTTAATTCAAGTTTTGGGTTCCTTAAGGAATAAACCTACCATGCAGTACTATTTCAGCTGTATCAAATTCCCCAATGCCTAATACTGAGTTCTTATAACTTTTTCAAAGCTGGTAGATATGCCATACATGTTTATGTGGAGACTTATTGTAGACAATAAGAGTGTTCATCCATGCAAAGAGGATAGGTCCAACAGCATCCTAGCCTTCCCACACACTGCTGTTTGCACCTTAGGTGTTATAAACTGAATACTAATTAGATTTTAACACGCATAATTAGATGGTTTATACATGCTGTTGTAATGTACTTTTCTTTTCCAAATTTGGTTTCACAGTTGTCACTTTCCAGATAACTGCCTGAGATTTTGGTGGCATCATTGATAACTTCCCACAACCTCCACCATTGCTCAATGCTTATTTGTTGAATGAACAAATTCTTAAGAATACAACCACTTCTGGTTTACTCCATAGTCAACTAAGCTGGACTAGCTTCTTCTATCTTTGATCACTCATAGTCTGTTCTTAACATAGCTGCCAGAGGGGTTCTCTTAAAATCAAAACAAGATGATGGCCCTTCTCTGTACACTTTCCTCTAGTAGCTCACCATTTCACTCAGGATAAAAGCCAAAGTCTTGTGTAAGGCCTGATCTACAAGGTCCTATACAGCCTTGTCCATCTATTCTGTCTTTCTTACTCCTCTCCTATTACTCTCCCCTTCATTTGCCCTACACCAGTCAACTAGCCTCCTTCCTCTTCCTATGCCTAGAATGCTCCTGCATTAAACGCTTTTCACTGGTAGAGCTTTGGCAGTACTGGAAATTATCTTCTCCAAGATATTAGCATGACTAATCCCCTCATGTCTTTTAGGTCTTTTCTCAACTATCACCTTGACTACCCTACTTGAAATTACAATCCCTGCCTCCATTATCCTGCTCTTTTTCATACTTAGGTATACATTTGATTTAAAGAATACACAAAGGCCTGGAATCATGGCTCCTGCCTGTAATCTCAGCACTTTGTCTGTTCAAGGTGGGAGGATTGCTGGAGGCCAGAGTTTGAGACCAGACTGTGCAACATAGTGAGACCCCACTTCTACAGAAAAACAATTGAAAAATGCACAGGATCTGTAATCTGAAAGCCACAAAATGATGATGAAAGAAATCAAGGACCTAAATAAATGGAGGGACATACTATGTTCATGGATAAAAAGATTCTACATAGCAAATATGTCAATGCTCCCCAAATTGATATACAGGTTTAACACAATCCCTATCAAAATCCTAGCAGGATCATTTTGCAGATATAGACAGTTTGGTTCTAAAATATATATTGAAAGGTAAAGGAATTAGAATAGAAAAAAAAAACTTAAAGAAGACTAAACTTGGAAAAATTATTTTGCCTGATTTTAAGACTTATTATAATGCTACAGTATTTGAGACAGTTTACTGTTGGCTGAGGGCTAAACACACAGATGAATGGAACAGAATAAGAAACCCAGAAATAGACCCAAACAACTATTACCAATTGACTTTTAACAAGGTACAAAAAGAATTCAATGGAGAAAGAATAGTCTTCAACTAATGACGCTGGAACAATTGGATATCCCTAAACAACAACAACAACAACAAAATGACTCTTTATCTAAACTTCACACCTTATATAAAATTAACTCAAAATGGATGATAGATTTAAATGTAAGACATACAATTGTAAGATATTAAGTAGATAAGATAGGAGAAAATCATCATGACATGGGGTTAGGATATAGGTTCTCAGATGTGGCATCCAAAGCATAATTCTGCAAAAGAAGATAAATGAGTCCTTAAAAAAGTTTTTAAAATGTTGTTCTGTTAAAGACATTGTCAAATAAATAAAAAGACAAATCACAGATTAAGAGAAAATATTTGTAAACCACATATCTGACAAATGGCTTGTATCTAGAATATATAAAATCTCTCAAAACTCCATAGTAAGAAAACAATAGCCCAATATTAAAAAGAGCAACAAACTCAAACTAAAACTTCACCAAAGAAGATATAAACAAATATGTGCATGAAAAGATGTTCAACATCACTAGCCATTAGAGAGATAGATGCAAATCAAACCTTGGTAAGAATCACTACATGCTTATTTAGAAGGGCTAAAGTAAATTTAAAAAGACAACACCAATTGCTGGCAATGATTCAGAGCAACAATACTTCTCATTCGTTGCTGGTGGGAATGCAAAATGATATAGTCATTTTGTACCACGGTTTGGTGGTTTCTTAAAAATTTAAACATATGCTTGCCATATAATCCAATAATGCCACTCTAAGGTATTTTCAAGTGAATTGAAAAAAACTATGTTTACACAAAAACCTGTATAAAGATGTTTATGGGCAGCTTTATTTATAATTACCCCAAACTTGAAGCAATAAAGATATCATTCAATAGCTAAATAAATAAATAAACTATGGTTTATTCATTCAATGAAATACTACTCGGTGATTAAAAGGAATAAGCTATTAATCCACACAACACCATGAATGAAATTATTTCACCTTTCCATAAGTTTATAATATAAATACAGTAAAAGTATGAAGTGCACTAATTTTTGATGTAGGTATTTTATTTATTTATTTTAAGAATTATCATATAGTAAATTTTACTTTTTGGTGTGTAGTTCCATGAATTCTATCCCATGTATAAATTCATATAACCACCAGGACAATAAAAATACAGAATTGTCCCATCACCCTACCACTAACCCCTGACAACTATTGATTAGTTATCTATCACTATAGCTTTAGTCTTGTCTTTTCAGAATGCCATCAACATATCATTAAAATGCACATATGACATGTAACCTTTGGATATTGGTGTTTTACACAGCATAAATCCCTCTAAGTCCATGTAAATTGTGCATCAACAATTCATTCTTTTTTATTGCTGACTAGCAGTGTGTGGTATGGATATATGACAGGACTTTTATTTAATGATTTGCTTGTTGAAGGACATCTAAATTTTATTTTTAGTTTTGGTTCTTATTAATGAGGTTTATATAAACATTCCTATACATTTGTTTGTGCATGTATAAGTTTTCATTTCCCTAGGGTAAATGCCCATGAGTGCAAGTGATGATTTGCCTGATTAGTGCATGCTTAGTGTATGATTAGTTCTATGAGAAACTGTCAAACTTATTTCCAGAGGGTCAAACTGATTCCCACCAGCAATATATGAGTGATCCAGTTGTTCTGTATCCTTGCCAACCCTTGGTATTATCAATGTTTTAAAAATATTTTATTTTGAAATAGTTTTAGAATTATAAAAGAGTTGCAAACATAGTTCAGAAATGTTTTGTATACACTTCACCCACTTCTCCTAATGTTAATATCTTACATAATCATAATAAATTAATTAAAATTGAGAAATTAACATCAAGGCCACAGGGATCACGAATAAGCAGGAAAACGTACACCATCAAAGAAAGTAAATAAATCATCAGTAACACACCGTGAAAAAATGGAGATTGATGAACTACCTAACAAAGAATTCTCAATAATTATATTAAAGAAGCTCAATGAGCTACAAGAGAACACAACCAGACAACTATACAAAATCAGGAAAACAATACTTAAAGCAAAACATGTTTGACAGTGAAATTTCAAAAGAGTACAAAGTGTGCCATATTTTAAGGTCTATATTTTCAATTAAAGTTAAGCAATGAAAAAACAAAAAAGACAAACAAATGGGGCTGTGTTAGCTGTATTTTTTGTATTAATTTTTATTTACTGCAGAGAGCTGATTATTATACTTTAAAAGGTGTTAGGCTTGCTTTTGGCCCAAGGTGTTGTAAAAGCTTTAAAGTTTTCCACATGAGCTTTAGAAGAATGTACATTCTATATAGCTGTGGACTTCTTTTACTGATGCATAATATTTACATATATTTATCAGGTACATGAGATATTTTGTTACATGTACAGACTGTGTAATGATCAAGTCAGGGTATTTGGGGTGTTGATCACATTGAGTATTTATCATTTCTATGTATTGGGAACATTTCAAGCCCTCTCTTTTAGCTATTTAGAAACATACAATGCACTGTTGCTAAGTATAATTACTCTACTCTGCTACCTAACATTTGAAATTATATCTTCTATTTAACTACATGTTTGTACCCATTGGCTGACCACTCTTCATTCCCTCATTCCACCCATGCACTGTTCCCAGCCTCTGGTATCTACTTTTCTACACCCACAAAAATCAACTTTTTAAGATCCCACATATAAGTAAGAACATGAGAAAATTGTCTTTCTGTGTTTGGCTTATTTCATTAGACATAATGACATCCAGTTCCATCCATATTGCTGCAAATAACATGATTTTATTCTTTTTATAGCTGTATATATACACACATATGTATGTATACATACACATTTGTATATAGATATATGTATGTGTGTGTGCATATATACATGTATGTGTGTGTGTATATATGTATGTGTGTATGTGTGTGTATATATATGTATGTGTGTATGTGTGTGTATATATGTATGTGTGTGTGTATATATACGTATATATACACACACATATATACACACATACACATATACATATATACACACACATACACACATACATATATACACACATATATATACATATATACATATATATATACACACACACACATACATTTTCTTTATTCATTTAACCATTGTTGGACATTTATATAGGTTGATTCTATATCTTTGCTATTGTGGTTGCTGCTGCAATAAACACGCAAGTACAGGTATCCCTTTGATATATTGGTTTCTTGTCTTTGGATAGGTACCTAGTAGGGGGATTACTGGACCATATGGTAGTTCTATTTGTACTTTCTTTGAGAAATTTCCTACTGTTTTTCATAGTGGCTGTACTAATTTAAAATCCTACTAACAGTGCACAAGAATTTCTTTTACACCACATCTTCACCAGCAACTGTTGTTGTTTTTTAATAATAGCCATTCTAACTCAAATAAAATGTTATTTCGTGTGGTTTTGATTTCCATTTCCTTGGTTAGTACTGCTGAACATTTTTTTCACATACCTTCTGGCCATTTGTATACCTTCTGAGAAATGTCCGTTCATGTCCTTTGCCCACTTTTTAATAGGATTATTTGAGTTTTGTTGTTGTTGTTGTTGTTGTTTTCTACCATTGAGTAGTTTGAGTTCCTTGTATATTCTGGATATTAGTCCTTTGTCAGATGAATAATTTGAAGTTATTTTTCCCATTCTACAGGTTGTATCTGCACTCTATTGATTGTTTCCTCTGGTGTGTAGAAGCTTTTTAGTTTAATATAGTCCCATTTGTCCATTTTTGTCTTGGCTGTTTGTGCTTTTGGAGTTTTAGACATAAAATTTTTGCCTAGACCAATGTTCTGAAGTGTTTTCCCTGTTTTCTTTTAGTAGTTTTACAATTTCAGTTCTTACATTCAAGTCTTTAGTCTGTCTTGAGTGTATTTTTGATAGGGGTCCAGTTTCATTTTTCTGCATATGGGCACTCAATTTTCTCAGAACCATTTATTGAAGAGAGTATTCTTTCTCCAATGTATGCTCTCTATGCCTTTGTTGAAAATTAATTGGCTGTAAATAAATGGATTTATTTCTGGGTTCTCTATTCTATTCCATTGGTCTATGCATCTGTTTTTCTACAAATACCATGCTGTTTTGGTTAGTACAGCCTTGTAATATATTTTGAAGTCAGATGGTATAATGCCTCCAGCTTTGATATTTTTGTTCAGGATTGCTTTGGATATTCTGGCTCTTTTTTTTTTTTTTTTTTTTTTTTGGTTTCTGTACAAATTTTTGGAGTGTTTTTTCTATTTCTGTGAAAAATGACATTAGTATTTTGGATAGGAATTACATTGAATCTTTAGATTGCCTTGGGCATTTTGGTCATTTTAATCATATTAATTCTTCTGATTCATGAATTTGGGATGTCTTTCCATTTGTTTGTGTCCTCTTCAATTTCTTTTATCAGTGTTTTGTCATTTTCCTTGTAGAGACCTTTCACCTCCTTGGTTAAATTTATTCTTAAGTATTTTACTTTTTTGTAGCTATTATAAATGGATTTCTTTCTCAGCTATTTCATTGCTGCTATATAGAAGTGCTGCTGATTTTCATATGTTGATTTGTATCCTGCAACTTAATTTATTTAACAGATCCAAGTGTTTTTTGGTGCAGTCTCTAGGTTTTTCTAGATATAAGATCATATAATCAACAAAGAGTAACAATTTGACTTCTTTTCCAATTTGGATGTCTTTTTTTTTTTTTCTCTTGCCAATTCCTCTGGCTAGGACCTCCAGTACTATGCTGAATAAGAGTGGTGAAAATGGGCATTCTTGTCTTGTTTCAGTTCTTAGGGAAAAGGTTTTCAGCTTTTCCTTATTTAGTATGATGGTAGCTGTAGGTTTGTCACATATGGTCATTAATATGTTGAGGCATATTCTTTCTATGCCTAGTGGGTTGAGAGTTTTTATTATGAAGAGATGTTGAATTTTATCAAATGCTTTTTCTGTTTCTATTGAGATGATCCTATAGTTTATGTCCTTCATTCTTTTGGTGTGACATATATTGTTTATTGATTTGTGTATGTTGAACCCTCCTTCCATCCTTGGGTTAAATCTCACTTGATTATGGTATATTATTTTTTGATGTGCTGTTGGGGTTAATTTGCTAGTTTTTTGTTGAGAATTTTTACATCTATGTTTATCAGGAATATTGGCTTGTAGTTTTCTTTTTTGTGTTCTTGCCTGTTTTGTCAATTCAGAGTATTGCTGGCTTTGTAAAATTAGTTAGAGAGAATTTCCTCCTCTTCAGTTTTCTGGAATAGTTTGAGAATTGGTGTAAGTTCTTCTTTGGATGTCTGGCAGAGTTTGGCAGTGAAGACACCAGGTTCTGAACTTATCTTTGTTGGGAAGCCTTTTATTACTGATTCAATCTCATTACTCATTAGTGGTCTGTTCAGTTTTCATATCCTTTTCTGATTCAATCTTGGTAGGTTGTGTGTACCTCAGAATTTATCTATTTTCTCCAGGTGTTCTAGTTTCTTAGTGTATACTTGCTGATTATAGACTCTGATGATTTTTTTGTATTTCCATGGTATTAGTTGTTATGTCTTCTTTTCCATTTCAGATTTTATTTTTTTGGTCTTCTCTTTTTTAAATCTTGGTTAGCCTAGGAAATGGTTTTTCAATGTTGTTTATTTTTTTTTGAAAAAAACTTTTTATTTAATGAAACCTATGCATTATTCTCTTAATCTCTATTTTTGTCTAGCTCTGCTCTGATTTTTATTATTTTTTTCCTTCTAAATTGGGGTTTTGTTTTCTCTTGCTTTTCTAGTTCCTTGGGTTGTATTGATAGATTGTTTATGTGAAATAATTCTACTTTTTTGATGTAGGCATTTATTGTTATAAAATTCCTTTTTACCATTGCTTTTGCTACATCCTATATATTTGGGGATGTTTTGTTTTTATTTTCATTTTTTTCCAAAAATTTTTTTTTATTTCCTCCTTAATTTCTTGCTTTACCCGATGATTGTTCAGGAGCATGTTGTTTACTTTCCATGTATGTGTACAATTTTCAAAGTTCCTCTTGTTATTAATATTTGGTTTTATTCCATTATTGTCTGAGAAGATACTCATTATGATTCCATTTTTTTAAAATTGGTTGAGATTTGTTTTGTGTCCTAACATATGATCTATCCTGAAGAACTTTCCATGTTCTAATGAGAAAAATGCTTATTTTGTAGCTGTTGAATAAACTGTTCTATAAATGTTTGTTAAGTTAGTTTTATGTAATGTGCAGTTTAAATCTAACTTTTCTTTGTCTATTTTTCTGTCTGGATAATCTGCCTAATGCTGAGAGTGGGGTGTTGAAGTCCCCAAGTATTATTGTATTGAAGTCTATCACTTCTTTAGATCTAATAATATTTGCTTCATATTTCTGGGTGTTCCAGTGTAGGGTGCATATATGTTTAGCATTGTTTTATCATCTTGATGAATTAATTTATCATTATATAATAACCTTTTTGTCTCTTGTTACTATTTTTGACTTATTATTCATTTTTATCATTCAATGTTAGTTTAGTTACTACTGCTTGCTTTTGGTTTCTATTTGCATGGAATATCTTTTTCCATTGCTTTAGACTGTATGTGTCTTTACAGGTAAGATGAGTTTTTGTAGGCAACATATAGTTGGGTCATATTTTTTATCCATTTAGCCAATCTATATCTTTTAAGAGAAAAGTTTTATCTGTTTACATTCAAGGTTATTATTGCTATTTGAGGGCTTATTCCTTTCATTTTACTGATTAATTTCTGGTTGTTTTGTATTTCCGTCTTTCCTTTCTTTCTCTCTTTTGTTTATCATTGTGGTTCGGTAGTATTCTGTCATAGTAACATTTCAGTTGTTTCTCTTCCTTCTTTTAGTGGTTGCTGTACCAGTGTTTTTATATTTTCATGATTGTTCTTTCATTTCTTGCTTTAAGATTCTCTTAAACACTTTTTGTAGAATCAGTCTAGCTGTGATGAATTCCCTCAGCTTTTGCTTGTCTGGAAAACACTTTCTTTTTCCTTCATTTATGAAAGATAGTATTGCTGGGTATAGGATCTCTGATTGCTGTTTTTTTTTTTTTTTTTTTTTTTTTTTGTTTCAGTACTTTGAATATATCACACTATTCTCTTCTGGCTTATATGGTTTCTGCTGAGAAATCTTCTGTTATTTTGAGGGAGATTCCTTTATTTCCTTTATAGGTGACTAGATGCTTTTCTCTCTCTCTCTCTCTTTTATTTTTTTTTTTTAAAGACATAGTCTCACTCTGTCACCTAGGCTGGAGTGCAGTGGCACAATCTCGGCTCACTGCAACCTCTGCCTCCTGGGTTCAAGCGATTACTCCTGCCTCAGCTTTCTGAGGCGCACACCACCATGCCCAGCTAATTTTTGTATTTTTAGTAGAGATGGGGTTTCACCATGTTGGTCAGGCTGGTCTTGAACTCCTAGCCTTGTGATCCACCCGCCTTGGCCTCCCAAAGTGCTGGGATTACAGGCGTGAGCCACCGTGCCCAGCCGCTTTTCTCTTAATGTTATACATTTTTTTCTCTTTGACTTTTGACTGTTTGACTAATGTGCTGTGGAGAAGATCTTTTTGACATGTATCTACTTCTGTATGTGAATGTCTGAATCCCTTGCTAGGCTTGGCAATTTTTAAATCTATTATTGCATTAAATAGCTTTTCTAACCCTTTTGCTTTCTCTTTGCCTTCAAAATTTGAATGCTTGGTCTCTTCATGGTATTTTATATGTTATGAAGGCTTTGGTCACTTTGTATTTTTTTAAATTTCTTTCTTACAGGGCTATTTAAAATGAAGTGTCTTCAAGTTCCGAGATTATTTTTTTTCTACTTGAACTAGTCTATTGTTGAAGCAAATGTATTTTGGATTTCATCAGATGAATTCTTCACTTCTGGTATTTCTGGTTCATTTTTGATGTGTATATATATTTGGTAAATTTCTCATTTATATCATGAATTGTTTTTCTAATTTATTTGTGTTTTCCAGAATTGTCTTGTATCTCACTGAGCTTCTTTACTATGAATATTTTGATTTTTTCCTTAAGTTTTGTAAGTTTCTTTTTGATTGGAATCTGTTGCTGAAGAATTATTTTCCTTTGGAGATGATATATTTCTTTGCTGTTTCATGTTTCCTGTGTCCTTACATTAATATATTCATATCTGGTATAACAGTCACTTCTTCCTATTTTTTAAAATTCATTTTTATATGGGAGGACTTTTTCCTGAACACGTATCTATGGTATTGGTTTGGGAGGGCACTTTGGCTTTGATTCTACATGCATACAGTAGTGTGTTCTTTGTATGATTTCTTCAGCTGTAAACACTGCCAATAGTGTCTGTGACTTACTTCATGGCTTAGGGCATGGTTGTTAATGAAGGGGGTGGTAAAGTTTTCCTGTGGACTGGGACACCAGCTGGGCTAGTCTTTGGGCCCCAGTGGTGGCACTAGTGGGTTACGCATTCCTGTTCTTGGGTCCCAGGGTGGCATATGCTGCCACCTGTGCTAGCAAGTCTAGGTGGGCTGATTTGGGGGCCTCTGGATGGCTTGATCATGTGCCAGGAGTGGCTGTAGGGGGCTAAGTAGGTGAGAGAGATTTCCAGCTCCTGGGCAGCAGGTGCAGCCTGAGCAATGGCAGTGGCAGCAGTAAGGCACCTTCTGGGATCCAAGCGGTCCATGTTGGGGTTGGTGGTTGCCTGTGTTGGTGTTGGGTGGGTCAGTCCCCAGCCCTCCATATGGCCTGTGCAGTTGAGTTTCGGCTGTGATGGTAGCAGCAGGTTGGATGGGCCTGATGTCAGACCCCAGGAGGAGTGCTCAGGTGCCCCCAGTGGTGAACTGGGCTTGGCCATCGCCAAGCCCCCAGATGGTGTGTTTGAATACTGGGAGTGGGTAAAGCTGATCCAAACAGACCTTCCCTCAGAGTCCCTGTTGGTGTGTACAGGTACTGGTTATGGTTGGCAAGGGTGGGTGATCCACAGGCCCCCAGAAGAATTCTCAGGTAGAGGCAACAGCAGCTGTATAGTGGCCCTGTTACTGGGGAGGGCAGTGTTACTTTAAGTGAAAACAGAGGTAGGCAGGTAGCTGGGGGTATGGGCATTGCCACCAGTGCAGAGCCAAGGCATAAGCAAAGCCCAGTCATATTTGTCCTTTGGGTGAGTGAAAATCTGTGGCCACCCCTTTGCTGGGGTGTTTGGAGTCGTTGACTGTGGCTCTCATCTCAATCCTGGTGGTGGTGGCTATGAGTAGGGAATATCAGTAGAGCTCCAGGTATGTGGAGATGCAGGGGCTGTTGAGCCCCAGGGAAGGACACTGTCTGGTGAGGGCTGATCTCTCAAAATGGTGCCATGCTGGAGCTTCTTGGGGCTCAGGTTTTGTGGGACCCAGTATGAGCCCTCTCTCTGGAGCAATGCCTTCACAAGTCTCCAGGCAGATCCATGTGTGTGTCTCAGGGCCTGTGAGGGTCAAGGTGCTTTCCTGTGGCTAGGATTATCTGCAAAGGAAATGTGGACTGCTGGGGGTCTCTCACTTACCCTTTCCCCACAATGAGGAATCTCTCCAGACTCTCTGCTAATTCCAGCCAAACAGGCTTCCTGGCTTTCTTCTCCTTCCTTGCTTTCAGTGCTTCCCATCACTTCTCTGTTGAACTACAGTGTTCTCTCTTAGATGATATATTCAAAGTGTGATTATCTACTGGCTATTTTGATTCCTCTCTGCGGGAAAGGCAAGTACCAGATGCATCTAGTCAGCTATCCTGAGGCCCCTTCCTTATCCAGAGTATTGAATTGTCATCAGAGTGTTTATTCTGATGAAACTTAAATGAAAGTCCTCACCGCATACTTTGTTACAGCTCTAACGTAACTAACCTCTGCCGCAATTTCCCTTATCTCCCTCTCCTTTCCCTCGGGATCACTTATTCCTCTGTGTCCCTAGCACCTAGCTCAGCACTTGACACACCGTAAATAAATACCTAATATATTCTAGAACAATGAATTGCCAGAATAATTTGAAACCAGGAATGTGAGTTCAGACTTCCTTACTGGAAGCCCAATGTCTTTTTCACTGTACCATGCTTTTTCTTCCAGCTCAACACTAACCAACTCAGAACTTGTTCATGCATATTCAGAAAGAATATAAGAAAACCACTTGCAAAAGCAGAAATCACTGTCTGAATCAGGTTCACATCTTGGCATTTGAGCCATTTACTTGAGCTTAGATTTATTATCAGCCTGTATTATGGCCCTTCTGTCTGCTGTGGCTCCTGACACTGTGCTGTCTCTTTAACCTGTACTTTGCATCCTTAGGTTTCTGAACCCCTGACTGTACTCTGGTGTCCCATGCCTGACTTCTGTTTGGAAATTCCAGCTCTTCTGTTACCTGAGAGGCAGGCCTTTAGACTGGGCAGCTTTGCTCCTCACTCATTGAGTCAATGAGGTGGAAGGATACACATATATGAACTTACTATGATTCCCTGCCTCAGCTGAGGGGATCAAGTCATCAATGACTGGGCTTATATATTTGTTTGTTCAGGCTTCCATAACAAAGCACCACAGATTGGTTGGCGTAAACAATGGAAATTTATTTCCTAACAGTTATGGAGACTAGAAGTCTAAGACCAAACTATCAGCAGTGTTGGTTTCTTCTGAAGCCTCTCTCCTTGGCTTGTAGATGGCTGCCTTTTCCCTGCTTCTTTAAATGGTCTTCCCTGTGTGTCTGCGTCCAAATCTCCTCTTCTTATCAGGACACCAGTCACATTGGATTAGGAACCCACCCTTATGACTTCATTTAACCTTAATTATCTCTTTAAAGATCCTACCTTCAAATACAGTCACATCCTGAGGTAGATGGGGTTAAGACTTCAACACAGGAATTTTAGGGTAACACATTTCTGCCCATAATTGCTTATGCCAAAACCAAAAATTTCTGTGGCCTGCCCATGCTACCACACAAATCTCACCGACACAAATGAGATTGCCTCTGTGTTACCTAGGTTTTGGCAACAAGCAACATTACCTTCCACAAACAAGCTGTACCATCTGCTTCCTAAGGCAAATCTTGTCTGTTATGAGAGAATTGGCAAGCATCAGTGTGAAAGTTTGAGTCCCAGATATTAAATATTTAAATATTAATTTGTTCTTTGAAACGCTTAACAAAGTTATTAGTATGTTCATTATAAGCCTCATAATTATATTTAATATTCACTAATAAAATCAACAGGGTAGGATTCTATCCCCAGTTCTTTGATGAAAGCAGAATGTCTTATTTTGTTCCCCATGTCATTATTTCTCTTTCCCGCAATTAGTTCAGTGAACCATACAAGACTGTAAATATTAAATTCTATGACATGCTTAATTGACAAAATATGGAAGAAATGTGTGTGCCAGTGGCTATAAATGACATCACATGCTCTGGAGGAAAAATGGTTCAGTGGGAAATAATGTAGCATTAATAAAACATACCAGTTACATTCAAAATAGGAAAGCATTTGGGTGACAGAAAAAATTTTCTCACAGCATGGAATTTTTGATGGAGAAATTGAGTTTAAGTTGGTTTAACACAGAAGGTGCGTGTATGTCAGCACTAACAATTGGCATTTCTGCATTTTTATTTAACATTATTCATGGCTTCAAAATAAATATTTCACATTTTTATCCTGCATCGTAGAATGTAAGTGGTATAAACTTCCCAGGATCCCCAAGGAAATAATGGCTAACACTTATTGAGCACATCTTTGCCAAGCATACTTGCATTAGCTCGTTTCACCTGGAACTCAATCCTAGGAGGCAGGTACCATTATTTTCCCTACTTATTGATGAGAAAACTGAGGATGGAGAGTTTGGGTAATTATCCCATGATCATACAACTAGAATATAAAGGAGCTATGGGTTGAATCTCACTGACTCCAAATCCCATGTTTTTATTGTTATATTTAAACTCTCCTTGCCCCAATGTTTCCTCATGTGTACAATGCATAAGATAAAATTAAATACCTTGGCAATGTTGAGGAAATACCTTACCTGAAAACATTATAAAAATACAAAACTCTCTGCAAATAGGTGCAGATATCTAAAAGCTAATTAAGGAAAAAATAACTCTCACATCCAGGGACCCAGAGGTTTTGTTGTTTGAGGTTTTCCTAGACTGGCAAAGTTAAAATATTTTATTTTTTGATAACTTTAAGGGTAAAATTTACAAAATATTTATTAGGAGATAGTACACAGTGGTTGGGTCTAGATATTATTAGTAAAGGAAAACTTTAAAAAAGTTGTCTTGGCCAGGCATGGTAGCTCATGCCTGTATCCCAGCACTTTGGGAGGCCAAGGCGGGTGGATCACCTTAGGTTAGGAGTTCAAGGCCAGCCTGGCCAACATGGTGAAACCCCGTCTGTACTAAAAATACAAAAATCAGCCAGGTGTGGTGGCACACACTTATAATCCCAGCTACTCAGGAGGCTGAGGCAGGAGAATCGCTTGAACTTGGGAGGCAGAGGTTTCAGTGAGCCGAGATCACGCCACTGCACTCCAGCCTCGGTGACAGAGCGAGATTCCATCTCAAAAAAAAAAAAAAAAGAAAGAAAGAAAAAATGTTGTCTTACAATAGATACCACTTATTCTCTTAAAACATACTGAAAATCAGTATTAACTATTTACAATGTGACTCTAAGTAATAATGACTAGAACTAAGAGAAAAGAGCAAGCTACTGACTATCACCTAATTTTTTAAATTATTGCATGGGAAAACGGAGGTGTAGAGGGCCTTGTTCCTTATTGCTTTGGAATGAAGGAGGCCAAATAATTGGCTTTGAACTGAAGATTTGCAAAAATAATCAGCAAGTAAATTCTTGCCTTGGGCTTATTTGCCAATATCAGGGTATTTCAATGAAAGTAACGGTAATACATAGCAGTGTATTGAAGCAGACATTTCAAATTCCAAATATGGGATGACTCACTGGGCAAAAGAGTCAGGTCTTGTGCAGGTTCTAGTGCAGGTCTTGGTATTTACATCTAAGGACCTTCAGTTGGCCACCTCTTGGGTCTGTTTCCCTACTGGAAGCATGAAGAGCTGGACCAAATACTCTGTACAGGCCATTTCAGCTTGAGTGACTCGTCCTCCTTGCAGCCTCTTTCTATGGGTGGAAGTTTCTGGGATTAATTGGAAAGCTCCTTCTCAGTGCCCAGATGTGAGAGCACTGAAAAGCCCCTTGTCAGGAAGGAGTATATTATTTGACTGTTAAATGGTGTCACAAACACATGCTTCAACAAGGCAAGAGCTCTCTCTCATGCAATGTAAACACTCCCTATCACTGAGAGAGACAGTACATTATCAACATCAGCAGTTTATTGGGTATCAGCATTAGCCACTCAAGCTGAGCTTAACCGACAATTCTTGCAATTCCATATCTTGTCTGATTTTCCCTTTCTAGTTTGCTGTCTTCCCATTGTTCTTTTGCACAGCATGGGAGCTGCTTCTGTTTCTGTTTGTTGCCATAGGAATCGAGTTTCACAGGAGTATGCAAGTGCCCCTGACTCACCTGCTTCTGCAGAAAAGCTATGGGGTATCTGGTCCTTCCAAAGACACCAGGGCTCCAGGTAACCACTCCCTGGTATTAGGAAAAGTAAGCACATAAGATTTACATGGCAATTACATTTGTCAAGGTGCAGGCCATCCATGTTTTCCCTATCTTCCTGAAAACACATATTCCAGTGAGGTACACAGAAGAGGTTTTTGCCCTCCATGCAAAATGGGGTTGCTGTGTATCCCTCTAGAAAATCAAATGAGATAACATACACTTAGAATAGTATCTGGGGTGTAGTTAGTTATCACTCAATGACCATCATTGTTATTTCTGAAGAAAATCAGGTCACATTTTCTGCCACTAAACTTTCAGCCAGCGGTTTTCTTCTAGCTGGCTGAGATGCATTTTGCTGGACTGAGATTTCCATGGATCTGGTGCAAAATTCTAAAAGATGGGGACTGCTTGCCCTTCCTTGCTAGTTCTACTCCACATCATTTCTGCTACAGTGGAACCCACTTTGATTTGGCTTCTGAGTTGATTATTGGTACACAGGCCTTCCCTCTGATAGTTAAAAACATTTGACTGCTGCTTCTGCTTGGACACTGTTGCTATGCTTGGGATTTTTACCCCCAATGGATCTGACCATTCTAGCAAAGTGCAGCCAGTGACAATAAGTAGAACAGAAGGCAAGAGTGATGTATTTTAGAGTATAAATGGGGCCCAAGCCACAGATTTATCATACACGTGTGTCCCTTTTTGCATGTTTTTGGGTTTTTGTGTTATCTTAGTGTTACAAGATGACTGATTTCTTGTGTTCAAAGACTTTACATATGAAATGGGTCATTCCGATGACCCAGCCCAGAGACTCTAGTGATGAATTTGAGCAAGAATGGTCACTGATCTTCCTGAGACGGGCCCCCAAAGGTTAGGGTTTACATTAGACTTCCTGGAATTCTCTGAGAGCCCAGTAAGATTATCACTCATTATATGATCTAAGCCAATCGACAGCCCAAAGCTTCCCATCATCAAGGCCACCTTTATAAAGAACTCTCCTCACTGGGGACTACACATTTTGAAATATTTTGCTATATCAAACAGCATTTATTTATTTGAATAGCCTTCTTTACCACCTGCATTTATGAGGGAGTAATTAAATAAATTTTCCCTTTTAAAGAATTAATTGAAAGGATTGGGTAACTCCCAATTAGTTTCTTGTCAGCATGAGATGCCCTCAAGTTTCTGCAAAATAGAGGTGATACTAGTCATAACCTCAGGGTTGTTATGAGGAGTAAAGGAAGTGGAACAGTGGCTGGCATACAGAAAGTGTTCAGTCAGGGTTAGCTATCATGGCTGTGAAGGTGAGGTTAAAGGATTGATGGACCTGACAGAATCCTTAGCCCAAAGTCAAAGCACTTGTGACTTTGTCTGCCTGCCCGGTCTGAAAGGGAGCGTATGTAAATTCTCTGTCTGGTTGGGAGGATTATTGTTTGTTTCACATTGAGAAAAACTTGTGGACCTCTATTATGCCCTCTAGACCTCTAGGTGTCCAGGGAATGACCTAGGCTCCTTCTCAAGCCAGTCTTTTCAGGCTCTACAATTTGAGGTTAAAAATACAATTAGTATTTTTGTTCCCTAAGACACAGAAGACAACTGCCTTTAATTTGTTCTAAAGTGCTTTCTTTCAGTTTCAGGATGTGTACAAGGCATACTGGGAAGGAAGTTTTTCTTTCACTTTAGCAACCCAGGACTTAATGAGTAAAGCCAGCATGACCTATTTATAACTTGCAAAGGCGGCGGGGTAGTATGTAGGGTAATTAGAGACATAAGCTTTGAGTCATGCAGACGTGGCTTCTCTCCCTGACCCTGTCACTCACTGGCTCTGTGACTTTGGTCAAGTCCCTTTCACTCTCTGAGACTGTTTCGTCACCTACGAAGTGTAGGTTATATTAATACCTATCTCATACGAATGTACAACAGGTAGAGGACACACATAGAAGGGGGAGAGAGAGGTATCCGTGCCATCCTTGTTTTCTTTCTGCTCATTAGCATACCCAGGATCATTTCCCCTCTCAGCCTTTCCCATTCCAGGTTAACAAATCCAAACCTCTACAATGTGTCTAGTCAAAAGACAAAAGGTAGGATGGCATTTTGGTTAACATGAGTCTCATTTCATCTGAGAAAAGGAAGGTAAGCTGGGAACAGATTAAAGCAAACTAGCTATGAGACAGGCAGGCTGGTTGGTTCCCTGTTTTAATATGGTCTGGAGTAAAAGAATGCAAGTTCCTTACTCAAGCTGTAGCTTACCTAACTCTCAACCAATCAGTAATAAAAGACCCAAGAAGCTGTTAACCACAAATTCCTGCTTCGGGGGCTAGGGACTTCCCCAGGGCCCTGCATGTGCAGTTAGAGTTAAACTTCGAACTACAGTTACCCCTTCCTTATTTTAATGTTAAAAATCATGCCCAGAGGTGGAGATGTAAAATGCTAATTCTACATATGATGTATGAAAAAGCATGTTGAGCCAATGCACAAGCACTAGAAAAATCCCTCCTACTCCTATACATGCTCGAATGTAATACTTTCCTGTAGAAAACTCCTGTAAACCTAACTCACAGACTACCCTCGATAAGCAACCCATTTCTTTTCCCTTCTTGGTGCTGACTCCCCTGTGCACAAGCGGAATAAACTTTCCTTTGCTGCTATGTTTGGTTATCTCTTTTGGTTTCTATCCTGGGCAATCACAAGAATCCATGATGCTGGTAACATTTTGTGGCACCCCAGGTGAGGCTCTCCTTTTAGGTCCCAGGAGAGTGAGTGAGATTGCCCAGAGGATGGAGGTGTCTGACCAGACATGAACAAAAGCTGGCACTCTGGACCACTGTTTCAGTGTTAGCGCCTTGGTGAATCAGATCCAGACTCTGAGTGTGTCCCCGTTCCCTTTCATTCATCTTCTATCTTCCCTTTGCTTTCCTTTTTTTCCCTTCACCTTCTTCCTTTTCAGTCTGTTTTGACTCTTCAGGAGTCCTGGTGTTTAATTAATCAGCTCTTGGAACCCTGGTTTCAGTTTCTGTTTGGCCAATGGGAGTGATTCCTATTTACCCATCTGGTATTTTGTTTGGGTAGCTGGAGTGAATCTGGCTCAGCTTTCTGGTATTGAGCTGAAAAATTGTCCCCTGTTCGTGAGCTGGCTAAAAAGTAGTCAGCAACCTGGAGTTCCCTTTTGTCTCAGACTTTGAAATTTCTCAGTACTTTCCTCAATTTTTGTCTTCTTTATGGGGTCTGGAAACTGGAAATCTGTTTTGTCATTTGTCTAAGTGAAAATGTACTTCCTTTGATGGTCTTTGTTGCATGTGAGCCTGACCCTTCACAATTCCTGGGAGAAGGCCTTACTCACTAGACCAGATCACCACTTTACTTTTTTGGTTTGTCTAGTCCATCATGTTATCTCTTGATAGAGTCAGTGCCAATGAATGTAAATATACAGTAGGTTCTACTTAGAGCTGGTGCAAAATCTACAACCTATTAGATTTTGAGGGCTGTGGCCAGAAAATTTGAGAGCTAGAGTCTCTCAAGCTCCCTCAGTCAGCTCCCTTCCCTCTGTCCTCCTTGTCTTGCCTGGTTCTCACCAGGTTTCTGAGGGTCTGGGTTGGGTGGGAAGAAGAGGGGTTTGTCAGAGCCAAGGGTTCCATCCCTCACCAGGCTACTTAATCATAGGACACCAGGTCTACCACGGAAAACACTGCAGGCATACCAAAAGATTTCTCCCTAGGATGCATCCTGAGTAATTGAGATGAATTTGAATTGGATAATCTAAAGAAAAAGAAGCTGATGTTTCTCTGTAATGTTGCTTGGCTTTGGAATCCCCAGGGGGACAAAGAGACACAGCCTAGGAATGGGGTCTTTGAGTTATAACACTATTTACAATTGAAATTGTATTGCAGAAAATTTCTAATAAATGCATTGAGATCCCATATGTGCTGGCTTTTATAAAATTAAACCAGGATCCAAAACTCCGGGACTCCTGCAGAGTCTGTGTGGCATCTCTTAAACAGTTGAAAGAGGAGCCAATTTCTGCTTTAGACTTTGACCCTGTAGATGCTGTCTTCTCAACACCTCTCCAGGGGAAGGCAGGAGCAATGAGTCCTTCTGCCCTGGTGGGTCCTCCTTCCTCTCACTCTGAGCCTCCTCCATATTAGGCTGGGTCAGGAAGGACTTCCCCTTCCACTTCCCAACAACCTCCAATGCTATTCCCAATGGGGCTCTGATCAGGTTCCAAGCTTGCACCTTCCTTTACTTCTCCACCAGCTCAGAGATACTTTCCCCTCTGGGAGGTAACAGATGGCGCTGGAAGGACAGTTTGGATACATGTACCCTTTTCTTTTTTTAAAAAAAAATAGAAGTGGTACCTGACTTCAAACTATACTACAAGGCTACAGTAACCAAAACGGCATGATACTGTTACCAAAACAGAGACATAGATCAATGGAACAGAACAGAGCCCTCAGAAATAACGCTGCATGTCTACAACTATCTGATCTTTGACAAACCTGAGAAAAACAAGCAATGGGGAAAGGATTCCCTATTTAATAAATGGTGCTGGGAAAACTGGTTAGCCATATGTAGAAAGCTGAAACTGGATCCCTTCCTTACACCTTATACAAAAATTAATTCAAGATGGATTAAAGACTTAAACGTTAGACCTAAAACCATAAAAACCCTAGAAGAAAACTTAGGCATTACCATTCAGGACATAGGCGTGGGCAAGGACTTCATGTCTACAACACCAAAAGCAATGGCAACAAAAGACAAAATTGACAAATGGGATCTAATTCAACTAAAGAGCTTCTGCACGGCAAAAGAAACTACCATCAGAGTGAACAGGCAACCTACAAAATGGGAGAAAATTTTCGCAACCTACTCATCTGACAAAGGGCTAATATCCAGAATCTACAATGAACTCAAACAAATTTACAAGAAAAAAACAAACAACCCCATCAAAAAGTGGGCGAAGGACATGAACAGACACTTCTCAAAAGAAGACATTTATGCAGCCAAAAAACACATGAAAAAATGCTCACCATCCCTGGCCATCAGAGAAATGCAAATCAAAACCACAATGAGATACCATCTGACACCAGTTAGAATGGCAATCATTAAAAAGTCAGGAAACAACAGGTGCTGGAAAGGATGTGGAGAAATAGGAACACTTTTACACTGTTGGTGGGACTGTAAACTAGTTCAACCCTTGTAGAAGTCAGTGTGGTGATTCCTCAGGGATCTAGAACTAGAAATACCATTTGACCCAGCCATCCCATTACTGGGTATATACCCAAAGGACTATAAATCATGCTGCTATAAAGACACATGCACACGTATGTTTATTGCGGCACTATTCACAATAGCAAAGACTTGGAACCAACCCAAATGTCCAACAATGATAGACTGGATCAAGAAAATGTGGCACATATACACCATGGAATACTATGTAGCCATAAAAAATGATGAGTTCATGTCCTTTGTAGGGACATGGATGAAATTGGAAATCATCATTCTCAGTAAACTATCGCAAGAACAAAAAACCAAACACCACATATTCTCACTCATAGGTGGGAATTGAACAGTGAGAACACATGGACACAGGAAGGGGAACATCACTATCTGGGGACTGTTGTGGGGTGGGGGGAGGGGGGAGGGATAGCTTTAGGAGATATACCTAATGCTAAATGACGAGTTAATGGGTGCAGCACACCAGCACAGCACATGTATACATATGTAACTAACCTGCACATTGTGCACGTGTACCCTAAAACTTAAAGTATAATAATAATAAAATAAAATAAATAGATTTTAACTTTTATTATTATTGAGTTGAATGAGTTTTTTATACATTCTTAATACAATTCTTAGCAAGTTTATAATACACAAATATTTTCTACAGGTCTGTAGTGTGTCTTTTAATATCTTTTTTTTTTTTTTTTTTTTTTTTTTAGACAGAGTCTTGCTCTATCCCCCAGGCTAGAGTGCAGTGGCGCAATCTCAGCTCACTGCAAGCTCTGCCTCCCGGGTTCACACCATTCTCTTGCCTCAGCCTCCTGAGTAGCTGGGACTACAGGTGCCCGCCACCACGTCAGGTAATTTGTTTTGTATTTTTAGTAGAGACGGGGTTTCACCGTGTTAGCCAGGATGGTCTCAATCTCCTGACCTCGTGATCCGCCCACCTCAGTCTCCCAAAGGGCTGGGATTACAGGTGTGAGCCACTGCACCCAGCCTTTTTTTTTTTAACTTTTATTTTAGGTTTGGGGGTACATATGAAAGTTTGTTACATAGGTAAACACATGTCACGGGGCTTTGATATACATATCATTTCATCACTCAGGTATTAAGCCTAGTACACAATAGTTAATTGTTCCTTTCCTTTCCCTCCTCTCACCCTCCACTCTTTGACAGGCCCCAGGGCATGTTGTTCACATCTATGTGTCCATGTGTTTTCATCATTAAGCTCCCACTTATAAGTGAGAACATGTGGTATTTGGTTTTCTGTTCCTCTGTTTTTTTGCTAAGGATAATGGCCTCCAGCTCCATCTATGTCCCTACAGAGGATATGATCTCATTCCTTTTTCATGGCTGCATAGTATTCCAAGGTGTATATGCACCACATTTTCTTTATCCAAGCTGGTCATTGATGGGCATTTAAGTTGCTTCCATGTCTTTGCTATTGTGAATAGCACCGCAATGAACATACGCATGCATGTATCTTTATAATAGAACGATTTATATTCCTTTGGGTATATACTCAGTAATAGGATTGCTGGGTCAAATGGTATTTCTGCTTCTAGGTCTTTGTGGAATCACCACATTGTCTTCCACAATGGTTGAAATAATTTACACTCCCACCAACAATGTAAAAGTGTTCCTTATTCTTGGTAACCTTGCCAGTATCTGTTATTTTTTGACTTTTTAATAATCACCATTCTGACTGGCATGAGATGGTATTTCATTGTGGATTTGATTTGCATTTCTCTAATGATCAATAATGTTGAGCTTTCTTTCACATGTTTTTTGGCCACATGAATGTATTCTTTCGAGAAGTGTCTGTTCATGTCCTTTGTCCACTTTTTAATGGGGTTGTTTTTGTCTTGTAAATTTGTTTAAGTCCCTTATAGATGCTGCATATTAGACTTTTGTCACATGCATAGTTTGCAAATATTTTCTCCCACTCTCTAGGTTGTCTGTTCACTCTGTTGATAGTTTCTTTTGCTGTGCAGAAGTTCTTAAGTTTAATTAGATCCCACTTTTCAATTTTTGCTTTTGTCATGATTGCTTTTGGTGTCTTCATCATGAAATCTCTGCCCATGCCTATGTCCAGGATGGTATTACCTGGGCTGTCTTCCAAGTTTTTAGAGTTTTTGGTTTTACATTTAAGTCTTTAATTCATCTTGAGTTGGTTATTGTGTATGGTATAAGGAAGGCGTCCAGCTTCAATCTTCTGCACATGGCTAGCCAGTTATCCCAGCGCCATTTATTGAATAGGGAGTCTTTTCTCCATTGCTAGTTTTTGTCAGCTTTGTCAAAGGGCAGATGGTCATAGATGTGTGGCCTTATTTCTAGGCTATTCTGTTCCATTGGTCTACATGACTGTTTTTGTACCAATACCATGCTGTTTTGGTTACTATAGCCTTGTAGTATAGTTTGAAGTCAGGTAACATTATGCCTCCAACTTTGTTCTTTTTCCTTAGCAGTGCCTTGGCTATTCAGGCTCTTTTTTGGTTCCATATGAATTTTAAAATAGTTTTTTTTTCTAGTTCTATGAAGAATGGCCTTGGTAGTTTAATAGGAACAGCACTAAATCTGTAAATTGCTTTGGGCAGTATAGACATTTTAATGATATTTATTCTACCTAACCATGATCATGAGATGATTTTCCATTTGTTTATGTCTTCTCTGATTTCTTTCAGCAGTGTTTCATAATTCTCATTATAGAGACATTTCATCTCCCTGGTTAGCTGTATTCCTAGGTATTTTATTCTTTTTGTGGCAATTGCGAGTGGGATTGCTTTTCTGATTTGGCTCTTGGTTTGGCTGTTGTTGGTGTATAGGAATGCTAGTAATTTTTGTACATTGATATTGTACCCTGCAACTTTGCTGAAATTATTTATCAGCTGGAGGAGATTTTCAACTGAGACTGTGTGATTTTCTAGATATAAAATTATATCATCTGCAAACAGAGATAGTTTGACTTCCTCTCATCATATTTAGATGTCCTTTATCTCTTTCTCTTGCCTGATTGCTGTGGCTAGGACTTCCAATACTATGTTGAATAGAAGTGGTGAGACAGGGCATCCTTGCCTTGTGCTGGTTTTCAAGGGGAATGTTTTTAGCTTTTGCCCATTTAGTATGAATATTGACTGTGGGTTTTTCATAGATGGCCCTTATTATTTTGAGGTATGTTCCCTCAATTCCTAATTTTTTAAGAGTTTTAACATGAAGCGGTGTTGAATTTTATTTAAAGCCTTTTCTGCATCGATTGACATACTCATGCAATTTTTGTCTTTAGTTCTGTTTATGGGGTGAATCATATTTATTGATTTGAGTATGTTGAACCAAACTTGCATCCCAGGGATGAGGCCTACTTGATCATGGTGGATTAGCTTTTTAATGTGCTGATGAATTTGTTTTGCAGGTATTTTGCTGAGGATTTTTGCATCAATGTTCATCAAGGATATTGGCCTGAAGTTTTCTTTTTTTGTTGTGTCTCTGCCATGTTTTGGTATCAAGATGATTCTGGCTTCATAGAATGAATTGGGGAGGATTCCATCCTCCTCAATTTTCTTGGAATAGTTTCTGTAGGAATTGTACCAGCTCTTCTTTGTAAATCTTGTAGAATTCAGCTGTGAATCCATCAGGTGCCAGGTTTTTTTTTTTTTTTTTTTTGATTGGTAGGCTATTTATTATTGATTCAATTTCAGAGCTCATTATTGGTCTGTTTAGGGACTCAATTCCTTCCTGGCTCAGTCCTGAAAGGGTGTATGCAAGATGGGGACAATTTGCTTATTCTTAGTGAGGACTTCCATGATTCTCAACAAAATACTACTAAAATCTTAAGTTCCTTGGCTGACTACGGATATAAGAGCTCCTATTCAAAGACTCAGATCTCCAAGATACAGGTTCACTATCTAGGATTCATACTTACTGCAGGAGCCAGAATACTCACCCCAGACTGAAAAAAGGCAATTGCTTCCTACTGGTCCCTGGTAATAGAAGAGAGCTATGGGGATTTCTGGGGATGGCCAGCTTCTGTCAGATTTGGGTCCCAAACTTTGACCTCATAGTTAAACCCCTTTATGAGGTACTCAAGGGTGGAGAAAAAGAACTGTTCCACTGGGAAAAAGGTTTTCTAGCAAGCATATGAAACTCTAAAATCTGAGTTTTGGCAGGCTCCTGCCTTGGGATGTGTGGAACTTGCCCAGATTTGTGGAAGACTTTCTTTCTTTTTGTACATGAGAGGTATGGATAAGCCCTGGAAGTCCTAATTCAGAAGCTAGGGCCTCTTCAAAGGCCAGTGGCTTACTTTTCAAAGCAATTACACCCAATAGCCCAGGGGTGGCCCAGCTGCCTTAGAGCACTGGCAGCCCCTAGCCTCCTGGTTAGAGAGGTCTCCAAACTCACACAGGCCAACTCCTTGACGTTTACACTCCCCACCAGGTCCAGGATGTGTTAGAAATAGAAGGGCACCACTGGTTGACTGGGGGGAGGTTAACTCAATACCAGGCCCTGCTACTGGACACCCCAGACCTTAAAGGTATGTTAGACCTTGAAACCTGCCACCCTGCTTCCGTCACTCACTTTCGAGACACCGGAACACACCTGTTTGGAGACTTTAGAGAAGACCTATTCTAGCTGAATGGACCTACAGGACACCCTCTTAGAAAATCCAGATGAAGAATGGTTTACATGGGAGTACCTTTGTAGAGAATGGAGTCTGGAAGGCAGGACATGCTGTCAGCCTAAACTAAGCCACAGAAACAAAGCACTTCCCCTAAGCACTTCAGCTCAGGAAAAGAGCTCAGAGCCCTACTCGGGGCTCTTCAGCTTGGGGAAGGAAGAAGACTTAATGTATCTACTGACTCTAAGTATAGATTCCTGGTGCTCCATGCTCATGCAGCCGTCTAGAAAGAGAGGTTAATATTGATTGCTAGGAGCTCCCTGATAAAAGATAAGGAAGTGATTCTATCCTTTTTTGAGTCAGTTCAACTCCCTGACCAAATAGCTGTTATACACTGTAAAGGGCACCAAAAGGACAGTTCTTTGATCAACCAAGGAAACAACCAGGCTGATAAAGTGCCAAACAGGCAGCGTGGATAGGGTAACCTGACACTTTGGCCCTTGTAATAAGACCCTCCACTTTGCCTTGAAATCCCCAATAGAGCCAATTAAAACAGAAATTGCCAGAGGAGGAGGGATACAATTTAAATGGTCAGGGATGTCTAGAAGATTAGCAAGGATGCCTTTTCTTACCAGAAGCTGACCAGTGGAAAATCATAAAGGGCCTTCATGAGGCAACTTATTATAGGAGGGGCTCACTATGAAATTTAATTCAAAATCTCCTACTGGGCAAGGCTTTAAAAACCACAGTGGATCAGGTAATTCAGGCATATGAAATTTGTCTTAGAAATAATCCCCAAGCCCATCTACCGGCTCCACCTCTGACTGCTCTAGTGCAACACTGGGGGACCTGTCTTGGAGGGGATTGCAAACTGATTTTTCACAGATGCTCCCAAAGGGGGATTCAAATATCTTTTATTTTTGGCAGACACTTTCACAGGCTGGGGGAAAGCTTTTCCCATGTGGACAGAGAAAGTATCTAAAGTTTGTAAATGGCTGCTTAAAAAAAATAATTCCTAGGTTAAGGCTCTCAGCCTCCCTACAAAGTGACAACAGGCCATCTTTTATCACCCGGGTCACCCAAGGACTGTCTAGCAGTCTTGGCATCCAGTACAAACTTCACTCCACCTGACATTCTCAGTATTCCAGGAAGGTTGAAAGAATAAACCAAACTCTTTAAGAAACAAACAAACAAACAAACAAAACCTTGGCTAAACTATGCCAAAACACCAAGGAATCACAGATTAAGTTTCTTTCTATTGCCTTACTAAGATTAAAAGCTGTCCCAAAGGGAAACATAAAGCTGAACCCCTTTGAAATGATCTGTGGGTGGCCTTTTCTCAAAACAAGCTTTCTGCTAGATGAAGATTTAAATCAGGCTCTAAAATACATCATTAACTTGGGACGAGTTCAGCAGTCAATCATTCAATATAGTAATAAGATTACCTCAGCTAGGAAAGGGGATTTCAGATCATTTCCGTGTTAGCCCAGGTTCACAGGTCCTACTCAAGACTTGGTGAGAAGGAAACCCGGAGGATCAGTTAACTGAAAAATAGAAGGGTCCTTACCAGGTTATCTTGTCCACTCCAACAGTCATAACGTTGGAAGGACTTCCGACTTGAGTCCATGTCTCTAGAATAAAACCTTTTGCTTCTCCTGATGAACAGGCCTTTTCAGAGGAAACAGTCTACTCCGGGAAGCCTACAGAGGACCTCAAGTATTTGTTCAGGAAGCTGCCTCTGGAAGGCAGCAATAAAACTAAGCAATACTCTTAAATAAATAACTGATATGAGTGTGCTTACTCTTCCTGTTAATTGTTAGTGTTTTCTTAATAATCTACTGGTTGACATCACTCTGTCTGCTCCCTATTGGCTAGAATCAAGTCACTTACAAGTGCATAATTATTAACCAAACTGGCATCCTGCCTTGAATATTAATCATGCTCTCATTATACCCTCTTCCTTTTAGTCTGGGTGCAAGGCCCCTGGAATCGCAATAGCCTAGTCAGCTTCTCCAAAATCATCAGTAGAGGAGAATCCCTTTCTAACTGCTGGATTTGTCACAGGCACCCCCAATTCTCTTTGGGTGTTCCTTTTGCAGATCCTTAAACCTGTCTACCCTAAACCTGATCATATATCACTTAAATAGAGGCCAGCTATCTAAACCCTATCCTTTAGCTGCCAGACTGCTTCCTACCCATCAAGTTCCTTGTTATGCCCTTCCCCCAGCTAAAAACTATTCTCTCGCTATAGAAAATGAGGAATTAAACTACACCTGAGCAGGATGTATTCCTTGCAATTTTCCTTCTCATTACAACTTTACTTGGTACCCCGCCTGTAACTTAAAATTCTGCACATATAAGTTAACTCATTGGTGCCCTATAGAATTACTAAAAATATATGGGCCCAAACCTGCTAGCAAAACGCTTTCTGATCACTCAGAGCAATGTGAATACTGGCAGGGTAACATCCCACCACTTTAGAAATACGGCTTTACACTGCCCCAAGGGTTCACAGCAATTTACAAGCTCAGTTACGGGGGCAGATCTGCCATACTCCAAGGTACCTCAAAGGTCATCCCTGACTACCTAGTACATTAAATCATGGAGCAACACACAGACAATTATCAAGGCCCCAGTTGCACAATTAATAACCTGAACCTCACAATTCTCAATAACACCCAGGAGGACATTTGCATTTGCACTCCTCCCAGAATTGTTTTTCTTTATGGTCACCCTAATAGCCACCTCCCATGGGTCACGTCCTACTTCTCTTATACATTTTCTCCACTGGCTCAGGCCTATTCTTGCATAGACAATATACAATTCGTGGGTAAATGTGCCTTGGAAATGATAAATGAAGTAATCTTCTGTAACTCTACCTGCCAACATCAGGCCCCTAGTTGAGCAAGGTGAGGCCTCGGCATGGTCACAGTGGGAATAGGCCTAAATATTGGACTAGTAGCCTTTTACGGAGTCTTCCCTTACTGTGAGGTAACCTTATGTAATCTGACATGACAGACTGGTCATATAGTAGACAAGACAGGAAAGGCTCTGAAAGTTCTGAAGACCTCCATCAATTTTCTTGCTAATGTGGTGTTGGATAACCACTTAGACCTAGACTATCTATTGGCAGAACAAGGAGGCATATGCACTGTCGCCAACACCTCCCGCTGTACTTGGATAAATACTACAGGGCAAATAGAAGTTAACATCCAAACAATTTGTAATCAGGCAAAGTGGCTACACTCTTTAGGTAAAGGGAATCCAACAGCTGACTCGATATGGAATGCTGTAAAATCAGCCTTACCCTATATAACTTGGTTTCTTCCCTTCTTGGGGCCCTTACTGGCCATGCTTTTTCTATTAATTTCTGGGCTGTTGTTTGTTTAATGTTTGTTTAACCTACTAGTAAAATTTTTGTGTTCCAGATAACAATTTTATGTCAAGTTAGTTGTCATACAAGGCTTCCAGCCAATTCTGTAGGCCGCCAGTCCAGACCATATTGGCCTCTTTACCAAGTTATGAGAGATGACTGTTCCTCCCAGGGATAAAGATAGGGAGTATGCCCATGCTCAGCAGAAAGTAGCTACAGAAAAAAAGACCTTCACCCAGAACCCCTTAAGAATAAGGAGGATACAATCTCTCAGGGAGGAATGAAATAGGCAGGCTGGTTGCTTCCCTGATTTATTTTATTTTTTAATTTTAATTTAGAAAGTTTTTGAGGAACAGGTAATTTTTGGTTACATGGATAAGTTCTTTAGCGGTGATTTCTGAGATTTTGATGCACTCATTACCTGAGCAGTGTACACTATACCCAGTATGTACTCTTATCCCTCACCCCCTCCCACCCTTCCCCCAGAGTCCCCAAAGACCATTATATAATTCTTGTGCTTTTGTGTCCTCATAGCTTAGCTTCCACTTATAAGTGATAACATATGATATTTGGTTTTCCATTCCTAAGTTACTTCACTTAGATTACTGACCTCAAGCTCCATCCAAGTTTCTACAAAGGCCATCATTTTGTTCCATTTTATGGCTAAGTAGTATTCCATGGTGTATGTATACCACACTTTGTTTATTCACTTGTTGGTTGATGGTTATTTAGGTTGGCTCCATATTTTTGCAATTGCAAATTGCACTGCTATAAAGATGTGCGTACACGTGTCTTTTCCATATAATGACTTCATTTCCTTTGGGTAGATACCCAGTAATGGGATTGCTGGATTGAATGGTAGTTCTACTTTTAGTTCTTTAAGGAATCTCCATTCTGTTTTCCATAGTGGTTGTACTAGTTTACATGCCCACCAGCAGTGTAAAAGTGTTCCCTTTTTATCACATCCATGCCAACATTTACTATTTTTTGATTTTTTAGTTATAACAATTCTTGAAGAAATAAGGTGGTATCTCATTGTGGTTTTAATTTGCATTTTTAGTGATGTTGAGCATTGTTTTCATATGTTTCTTGGCCATTTGTGTATCTTCTTTTGAGAATTGTCTATTTGTGTCCTTTGCCCACTTTTTGATGGGATTATTTGTTTTTTCTTGCGGATTTGTTTGAGTTCCTTGTAGATTCTGGATATGAGACCTTTGTCAGATGCATAATTTGTGGAGATTTTCTCCCACTCTGTGGGTTGTTCCTTTACTCTGCTGATTATTTCTTTTGTTGTGCAGAAGCTCTTTAATTAGTTCCCATTTATTTATTTTTGTTTTCATTGCATTTGCTTTTGGGTTCTTGGTCATGAATTTTTTGCCTAAGGGTTTCATGTTTTAATATGGTCTAGAGGAAAATAACAAGAATCTACTACTCAAGCTGTAGCTTACCTAACTTTCAGCCAATCAGTAACAAAAGATCCAAGAAGATATTAATAGAAAGTTTCTACTTCAGGAGGCTAGGGATTTCCCTGGGGCCCCTCATGTACACTTAGTCTTAAACTCCAAACTATGGTTAACCCCTCTTCATTTTAATGCCAAAAGTTATGCCTAGGGTGGAGATTTAAAATGCTAATGCTACATATGATATATGAAGGAGCATGTTGAGCTAATGCACAAGCACTAGAAAAACCCCTCCTACATGCCCTGATGTAATAGTTTCCTCTAGAAAATCCCTATTGCCCTAACCCACAGACTACCTTCAAGAAGCAGCCCATTCCTTTTCCCCTTCTTGGTGCTGAATCCCTCTGCACAAGCTGAATAAACTTTCCTTTGCTGCTATGTTTGGTGATCTCTCTTGATTTCTATCCTGGGAGATCGCAATAACCCAGGGCACTGTTAACAACTACAACCAAATACTGTCCTTGCACACGTGATCAAATTCAAATAGCTATTGAGTTATCAGTTGAAGATGATGCCATCTCATGACATTGTAACTCTCTTTGGGGGAACTAGAGGGTAACATCCATCAGTTCTATCATGAGGAATCTTTTTGCTGGCACCAGCCTTCTCAGTGTCTTTGCAAGCTGATTTCATACAAGTACTGGTAAAGCCTCACACTGGTTATATGTGATGCCCAAATCACTATGAAAAGGCTGGAAACAAGGGTAGAAAATTCACAACGATAGGTCTCAGAGTGTGTCACATTTTCTAAGTTTCTTTTTGGGGCTTCCTCCAAGAACCAGAGAAATAAAAAGCCAAGGGCAAGAAATTTCCAGAGGACCTATTCCCTTCCAGGTCCACATGGCTCCCTTCCTGTTGGAGTCCCTGATGTGCATCAACATTATGTTGGTGTGCTGGTTTGGCAGGCTGCTGTAATAAAGTACAGTCGTCCCTTGGTATCCATGGGGATTGGTTGCACAATACCAAAATCCCTGGAGGCTCAAGTCCCTTACTTAAAATGGTATAGTATTTGCATATAACCTACACACATCTTCTCATATATTTTAAATCATCTCCAGATTACTTATCCCTAATGTAATGTAAATGCTACGTAAATAGTTGTTATACTGTATTTTTTAAAATTTTGTGTTATTGTTACTGTTGTACTGCTATTTCTAGAAATTTTGAATCCATGATTGATTGAATTTGCACATGCTGAACCCATGGAAAAGAGGACTGACTGTACCACAGACTGGGTGGCTTAGACAACAGGAATTTACCGTCTCACAGTTTTGGAGGTTAGAAGTCTGCAGGTTTGGTTTCTTTTGTGTCTCGTCTCCTGGCCATCTTCTCCATGTGTCTTCACATGGTCTTCCATGAGTGTGTGTCTGTGTCCTAATCTTCTCTTAAGGACACCAATCCGATTGGATTATGTCACACCCAATTAAACTCATTCAACGTAACTACCTCTTTAAACATCCTATTTCTAAATACAGTCACATTCTGATGTACTTGGAGTTAGGATTTCAACATATAAGTTTCGGGGTATATAATTCAGCCCATCACTGCTTTTATGCTCACACACAGTGAGCCCAGGGTCCAAGTCCCCAGTCTAAGAGAGAATCCTCCCAGGGTACTGCCTGCCCTTCAAAATGCTAGTTTCTTTTTCTCTTTTTACTCTAATGCCAAATGGAGACCTTAGGTTTTTTTGTTTTTTTTTTTCTTAGAGCTTTTGCTGTTAACCTTCCTCACTCCTCCCAGCTGCAAAAGAGATATGACCAAATGGCTCCAAGGTCACCCACCCATGACCTTCTTCTGACCTTTTTCCTCGGAACAACAGGCCTATTCTGCCTTGCTTTATTAAAAGGTGCATGCATATTCGACACAGATATTGCCAAGGGATATTTGAGCTTTTTCAGGACAGCCCAGATTTCAAAAAATCCAATCTCCTTGTTAAATCATGCTGATTATGCTTCTTGGTTTGGGATTTGGGAACTGTGGTCACTGTAGGTAAAAACCATACCTCTTTAGAGGCATATGCATAATTATGTATAATAATGTACCTCTGAAGATGGATAATGAATGATAATTAAGATATTTACATTATGCACATGTGCTTTCAGCCCCAGGACTCCAATTCAAAAATGCCAATTGTCCCTTAACATAAAATGAGATTCATAACAAACCTTCATAGAATTTTGTCTCAAATGTTTTCCTTCAGTTCTATGGAGTACAAAGAAAGAGACCAGAATCAGACTGCTGGATATATCACACATTCTGAATTTTCTAGGCAGTCCCAGTTTCAAAGTGTATGTCCCAGTTTGGGTTTGGAAAATACAATCCTCATAATTGCAACAGTAATTGAACAATAAGATTTGGTTACTTCACTTTTTAAACAGTCAATCCACATTTTTTTAAAGAACCTACAGGGCATACCACATAATGAAGACCACTGCTTTTTTCTTTTCTTTTCTTTTACTGTGAACTGTTTCTCTGTGTACCTCTTGGTCTGTCACCTCCAAAGAGGAAAACCTCAGATCACCTCTGGCTACTTGGGTATTAATAATGTGTGTGTATGGGTCTGTTATTACCACATTTTCTATGTCCTGTACGATTCAATGTATTTAAAGACCTCTTACTATAGTTCGGCTCTGATAATATTATTGTCGCCTCCTTAGGTGATGAGAGAGGAATGCCTAAATTTCACCTTAGAATGGCAAAGAACATTCTAGAATATATAATTTACAAAGTAATTAGAAAGATTCACTGAGCTCTGATTCTGTGTGCTTGATGCCTGAAGTAGGGAGGGGTGGTAGTGGAATAGGAGTAAAGAGACATTTCTATTTTTTCCTCTGACATTTTATTGTAGAAAATTCAAATCCACAGCAAAGTTAAAAGAATTTTACAGTGGAGAGTATTCGAGTGGTTTTGAACTATAAAAATGGTAAGTTTTTTCTTTTCCCTAGCACACCCTGAGCAAGTGAGCTTGGGCAGAAACATTTTGTTCTCTGTCCTTCTGAACAGTATGTTCCTAAGTGGGACATTCCTTTGTAATCTGAACAAATTGTATCTACATTCTCAGCAAATGAATGAAAATACAGTATACTTCTAAAAAGTTCCACAGCTTTTTGTTGCTTAATGAATACTGGTCACTCCTTTGCCCTGCCCCATGAGTTCTTCCAACTGTCTGCCCCCCATCTCAGCCCATTTACTCGTATATCCCTTTTCCCCTTCTAACTCTAATGCCAATCATTTAGGAATGTGAAAAACTAGACTACAGGGAATATTTGGTTGATATCTATCAAAGACAGTTTAATGAAACTGGAAGAATATTTTTAAAGCAAATGTCACAGAGAACGTCCAGCCATCTGAAGTAACCTTGCTAAATGCAGAAATATCTCTCCTCCCTCTTATTTGGCTCCTGATTTCTGTGAAGCTTGAATAAATAACACAGGGTTATTTAAGTTTTTCCTGCCATGAATGCAAGGCAGATTACTAAAATTATAAAATACAGGTGGCAGGGCCGGGTGCGGTGGCTCACGCCTGTAATCCCAGCACTTTTGGAGGCCGAGGCTGGTGGATCACCTGAGGTCAGGAGTTTGAGACCAGCCTGACCGACATGGTAAAACCCCCTCTCTACTAAAAATACAAAAATTAGCCAGGCATGGTGACGCGTGCCTGTAATCCCAGCTACTTCAGAGGCTGAGCAGGAGAATCACTTGAACCCGGGAGGTGGAGGTTGCAGTGAGCCGAGATCACTCCATTGCACTCCAGCCTGGGAAACAAGAGTGAAACTCCATCTCAAAAAAAAAAATACAGGTGGCAGAATGTACTTGGGTGAGACTAGAATCTGTATAAGTTTGTGCCCACCCAAATGAGTGAGAACTCTAGAGGGAATAGAGACTACCTCCCCAAATATTAATTTTAAAGGGTTTGTTCAATTTAAACAAGTCCTAGCTGTGAATCTGAATTGAACAATGTGTGTGTGTATTAATTATAACTTTCATAATAAGGAAGGTAATCATACCTTACACATTTTAGACTCTTTAATTCAAAGACTTCCAGAAAGTTTATAAGCATCAATTACTTCTTTCAGTTCCCCTATGATGCAGATAAGTTCAGTATATTCATTTATATTTATTAACTGACACTCCAGAAACTGTATTCATTTTGGTTTTAAAATGTATCTTGGCTGAAAAGTGTCTGTTTTGTATATGATAGTACTTTTCATCTAAATATACCTTTCTTCTAAGAGCTCAGTGTCCTGAAGAGCTATCATTACAAAAACCTTTGGGGTAGATAGGAGGAGGCACCATTGCTTTGAACATCTAGATGGGAAAACAGTAAAGAAAATTTTCAGTTACACTGGGACACAGGAGCTTAGTAAAAGGCCAAAGTCCACTTTCTCATTCCAGAGAGCAAGTTGGGCAAGAACAAATTTCCTGCCAGGAACAAAGTATAAGAGCTCACTTCTCTGTGAGCAAAACTCTGAACCTGAGGATCAGCCATTACTTTTCTGATTATGGCCAGGCATTACTGGGAAAAGTCTAATTTTCTCATTCTAAAACACAATGCTTAAAAAGAAAATCTTATTCAACTACTACATATTTAGTTCCTACTATGCGTTTTAGAAACTGTAAAAAATATCCAGACGGGTTGTATATAGTTTTCTGCTCTCAAGAAGCTTCTAAAGTATCCCTTAAAAGAAGATAATCTTGTTGATAGGATATGCTTCATGTCATTAGGTGAAGGTGACATGATCCAGTTTCCCTACAAGCTTCCTCCAGAGCCTTTTCATTTCAAGTAAAGAAAATCAGCCAAATATGACCCTTCTCACGTCCTGGCTTTAATAAACAGGACTGCAAGATTCCTTCAAAGCTCTAGACAAGTCACAATTTCCTTGCCTCAGTTTCCATACCATCTTAAAAGGGAAACAGTCTCCCAGGGTATTTTGTGAAGACAGATTTATGACTACCAAACAGTTTAAAGATTATGAGTGTTATATATTATTGCACACCCTTAGTCAGAAATCCTAACAGACCTATATCTTTATAGAATTTCTTATCTTTTCTAATGCATCAATTACTTTTAGGGTGACTTAAAATAAAATGTATATTTGAATCGCATCCAATTTTTGACATAGTATTTCTCATTACGATTCTATATATAATGTAAATATTTGTTTTCATTTATATGCTAAATTTAAATTTTTTGGTATTGACTCAGAACCATCAAACTGCATGACACCTTGAGATAAATTCCCACCCCTCTCATTTTATAAATAAGGAAATTGAAGCCCAGACAGGGAAAACGATTTGTCAAGTGTCAAATAGTGAGTCAATACCAGGGCTGGTACTAAAACCCTGGTTTCTTGATTCTATCCAAGTTTCAGGCTTTTTCCACCACACCATACAGCCACACTGCTTAAAATAAAATACAATTTTATCTGAAGACACAAATTACTGACGTTTCACATACACATATCATAAATGTGTCCCCCTTCTTCCATTCTCAACTCTATCTCTCCATTGTCAGCAGATGACCTTGCTTCCTTTTTCACAAGAGAAATAGGGGCAAACAGTGAGAGTGCCTTCAAGCTCCCCTCCACCCACCACATCTACAGAAACAAACATTTTTACCTTTCACACACCCACCTCTTCCTGTCCAAGGGGAGCAATTCCTCTGGATACATCCCCATTAAACCTTCCTTTCCCCAGCCTATCAAAATGCATAAGTCTCATTCAACTAATTTTGAAAAACCCTCCCTTAGTACCAATTTCCCCCTTTAAATTCAACCTTCAATATTCAACTACCTGCTGGTCTACACCTAAATGTCCCCATCAGCACCACAAATTTAGCTCATCCAAGACTAAACTCAGTGTCTCCATCTTCAAACGTTCTTGGTCCCCAGTATTCTCATCCCAGTGAGTGGCATTACCTGGTTGCTCAAGTTAGAAATTTGGAATCATCCTTTATTCCTTCTTCCCCCGCCGATGCCTCTTATCCAACCACTCAGCATGGCTTCCTATTCAAAATGTGATCTGAAGACATACCACTTAAGCGTCCCCTGATCCTTGCTTAAAATGCAACATCACAGGACCCATCCCAGACCTATTGAATCAGAATCTGCATTTTAACAGGTGTTTTTATTTTAACACATAATAAAGTTTTGGAAGCACTGGTTTATGCAATATTTGTGAGGTACACAACTGCCTCCACCATTAATCAGCCTTGTTTGGTATGTTGAACCCGTTCTCCAGGCATACTAGCTTTCCATTAGGTCCTCTGATTCCCCATGCTCCCTTCCCTCTCAAGGCTTGTACAGTGCTGTTCTAGTGCCTTGAAATGCTCTTGACTCCCCTTTGCCTGGATGACTCCTATTCATATTTCCGACCTCAATTCAAATATCATGTGTTCCTTGATCTCCCAGCCAGGGGTCAACAAATTTCTGGGCCAAACAGTAAATATTTTCAGGTTTGCTGGCAGTATAATCTCTGTCACAAAGATTAAACTCTGCCATTGTAGTATAAAAAGCAGCTTTATAGTACACAAATGGGTGTAGCTCTGTTCCAATAAGACTTTATTGGCAAAAACAGATTGCAAGCTGAATATTGGCCTACAGGCCAAAGTTTGTAAACACCTGTTTTAGATTGGGACAAGAACCCCTGGCATATGATCTCATAGCACAGTGTATCTTTCTTTCTTTGGGTTGATTCCAGCATGCAGTTACACATTTATTGGAGTAACTTTGAGGTCATTAGTATATCCAAAGTATTTTTTTTTAATTATTGTTATACTTTAAGTTTTAGGGTACATGTGCACAATGTGTAGGTTAGTTACATACGTATACATGTGCCATGCTGGTGTGCTGCACCCATTAACTCGTCATTTAGCATTAGGTCTATCTCCTAAAGCTATCCCTCCCCCTCCCCCCACCCCACAACAGTCCCCAGAGTGTGATGTTCCCCTTCCTGTGTCCATGTGTTCTCATTGTTCAATTCCCACCTATGAGTGAGAACATGTGGTGTTTGGTTTTTTGTTCTTGCGATAGTTTACTGAGAATGATGATTTCCAATTTCATCCATGTCCCTACAAAGGACATGGACTCATCATTTTTTATGGCTGCATAGTATTCCATGGTGTATATGTGCCACATTTTCTTAATCCAGGCTATCATTGTTGGACATTTGGCTTGGTTCCAAGTCTTTGCTATTGTGAATAGTGCCACATTAAACATACGTGTGCATGTGTGTTTATAGCAGCATGATTTATAGTCCTTTGGGTGTATACCCAGTAATGGGATGGCTGGGTCAAATGGTATTTCTAGTTCTAGATCCCTGAGGAATCACCACACTGACTTCCACAAAGGTTGAACTAGTTTACAGTCCCACCAACAGTGTACAAGTGTTCCTGTTTCTCCACATCCTCTCCAGCACCTGTTGTTTCCTGACTTTTTAATGATTGCCATTCTAACTGGTGTCAGATGCTATCTCACTGTGGTTTTGATTTGCATTTCTCTGATGGCCAGTGATGGTGAGCATTTTTTCATGTGTTTTTTGGCTGCATAAATGTCTTCTTTTGAGAAGTGTCTGTTTATGTCCTTCGCCCACTTTTTGATGGGTTGTTTGTTATTTTCTTGTAAATTTGTTTGAGTTCATTGTAGATTCTGGATATTAGCCGTTTGTCAGATGAGTAGGTTGCGAAAATTTTCTCCCATTTTGTAGGTTGCCTGTTCACTCTGATGGTAGTTTCTTTTGCCGTGCAGAAGCTCTTTAGTTGAATTAGATCCCATTTGTCAATGTTGGCTTTTGTTGCCATTGCTTTTGGTGTTGTAGACATGAAGTCCTTGCCCATGCCTATGTCCTGAATGGTAATGCCTAGGTTTTCTTCTAGGGTTTTTACGGTTTTAGGTCTAACGTTTAAGTCTTTAATCCATCTTGAATTAATTTTTGTATAAGGTGTAAGGAAGGGATCCAGTTTCAGCTTTCTACATATGGCTAACCAGTTTTCCCAGCACCATTTATTAAATAGGGAATCCTTTCCCCATTGCTTGTTTTTCTCAGGTTTGTCAAAGATCAGATAGTTGTAGATATGTGGCGTTATTTCTGAGGGCTCTTTCTGTTCCATTGATCTATATCTCTGTTTTGGTACCAGTACCATGCTGTTCCAGGAGCTGGTTTTTTGAAAGGACCAACAAAATTGATAGACTGCTAGCAAGACTAATAAAGAAGAAAAGACAGAAGAATCAAATAGATGCAACAAAAAATGATAAAGGGGATATCACCAACGATCCCACAGAAATACAAACTACCATCAGAGAATACTACAAACACCCCTACGCAAAAAAAATAGAAAATCTAGAAGAAATGGATAAATTCCTCAACACATACACCCTCCCAAGACTAAACCAGGAAGAAGTTGAATCTCTGAATAGACCAATAACAGGCTCTAAAATTGAGGCAATAATCAATAGCTTACCAACCAAAAAGAGTCCAGGACCAGGTGGATTCACAGCCGAATTCTAGCAGAGGTACAAGGAGGAGCTGGTACCATTCCTTCTGAAACTATTCCAATCAATAGAAAAACAGGGAATCCTCCCTAACTCATTTTATGAGGCCAGCATCATCCTGATACCAAAGCTGGGCAGAGACACAACCAAAAAAGAGAATTTTAGACCAATATCCTTGATGAACACTGATGCAAAAATCCTCAGTAAAATACTGGCAAATCAAATCCAGCAGCACATCAAAAAGCTTATCCACCATGATCAAGTGGGCTTCATCTCTGGGATGCAAGGCTGGTTCAATATACGCAAATCAATAAGTATAATCCAGCATATAAACAGAACCAAAGACAAAAAGCACATGATTATCTCAATAGATTCAGAAAAGGCCTTTGACAAAATTCAACAATGCTTCATGCTAAAAATTCTCAATAAATTAGGTATTGATGGGACGTATCTCAAAATAATAAGAGCTATCTATGACAAACCCACAGCCAATATCATACTGAATGGGCAAAAACTGGAAGCATTCCCTTTGAAAACTGGCACAAGACAGGGATGCCCTCTCTCACCACTCCTATTCAACATAGTGTTGAAAGTTCTGGCCAGGGCAATTAGGCAGGAGAAGGAAATAAAGCATATTCAATTAGGAAAAGAGGAAGTCAAATCGTCCCTGTTTGCAGATGACATGATTGTATATCTAGAAAACCCCATTGTCTCAGCCCAAAATCTCCTTAAGCTGATAAGCAACTTCAGCAAAGTCTCAGGATACAAAATCAATGTGCCAAAATCACAAGCATTCTTATACACTAATAACAGACAAACAGAGAGCCAAATCATGAGTGAACTCCCATTCACAATGGCTTCAAAGAGAATAAAATACCTAGGAATCCAACTTACAAGGGGCGTGAAGGACCTCTTCAAGGAGAACTACAAACCACTGCTCAATGAAATAAAAGAGGATACAAATGAGAACATTCCATGCTCATGGGTAGGAAGAATCAATATCGTGAAAATGGCCATACTGCCCAAGGTAATTTATAGATTCAATGCCATCCCCATCAAGCTACCAATAACTTTCTTCACAGAATTGGAAAAAACTACTTTAAAGTTCATATGGAACCAAAAAAGAGCCCGCATTGCCAAGTCAATCCTAAGCCAAAAGAACAAAGCTGGAGGCATCATGCTACCTGACTTCAAACTATACTACAAGGCTACAATATCCAAAGTATTTAAAGCCATGGGGCCACATTAGATCACCTAGCAGGTGAACATAAATAGAAAAGATGAGAAAGCCGAGGACTTAGCCCAAGGGTACTCTGATATTTAGAAATCAGGAGTATGAGGAGAAACCAGAAAAGAAGACTGATACATTAGTGGCCAATGAGGTAAAGCAAAACCCAGAGTGTGGTGTACTGAGAGACAACTGAAGAACATATTTGAAGAAAAATGAAGAAACTAATGTGCTAAATGCTGCTGCTTGATGAGGACTGAGCAACATCCATTGGATTTGACACCAATGGAGTGACTGGTAGCCTTGACAAGTGTAGTTTTGGGGATGAAAGCCTGACTACTTTCACTTAAGCCTTCACCTAAGGCATTCAACTGAACTCACTGCAGTGAGTTCAATGGAGAATTGGAGGAGTAAGAATTGAGAGAGCAGTTATAGACAACTCTCTGGAGAAGATCTGCTGTAAAGGGGAGCAGAGCCACTGGGAAGTAGCTAGAGGAGGATATGGGGGTCAAGGGAAAATTTATAACGTTGAGAGATATTATAGCTGATGAGAAAGATCAAGTAGAAAAAAATGATCAGGAAGGAAAACAAGGACAGATGGCAGGAAAGAAGTTCATGAATGTGTGAGGGGCATGGGATCTAGGTAGGGCACCATTGCAAGGACTGGCCAAGGAAAGAACATGACCAATTAACCCAGTGTGATAGTTAATTTTATGTGTCATCTTGGCTGGGCTGCATTACCCAGATATTTGGTTAAACATTATCCTGAATATTTCTGTGAGGGTGTTTTGGATGTGATTAACATTTAAATCAGTACAGTTTGAGTAAAGCAGATTCCCTTGTATAATATGAGTGGGCCTCAGGCAATCAGTTGAAGGCCTTAAGGAAAACTGAAGTACCCCAAAGAAGAGGGAATTCTGCTTCCAGAGTGCCTTTGGACTTGAACTGCAACATCAACTCTTTCCTGGGTCTCCAGCCTGCCAACCTACCCTGCAGATTTTAGACCTGCCAGCCCTAACAACTGTGTGAGCCAATTCCTTAAAGTCTATCTGTCTGTCTGTCTGTCTGTCTGTCTATCTCTCTATCTATCTATCTATCTATCTATCTATCTATCTATCTATCTATCTATGCATATACGTACACACACATCCTGTTGGTTCTGTTTCTCTGGAGAACTCAAATTAACCCAGTGTAATGGAACAGAAGACCAAATACATGGCTCAGGTGAAGGTGGTTGGAGAGATGTGGAAGCTTGTGAAAATTCCCTTTGGATTGTTTTGGTGTTTTTGATGAAGTAAAATGTAAGGTCATCCCCTAAGTGAGAATGGAGCAAGATGTGTTGGGTGATTGTGGAGAGGGAGTGTGGGAAATTGTCATATTGAAGAATAGGAGGTGAATGAAACCAAAAAGTGTAGTCGTATTAGGAGTTGTACCTCTTGTATGCACATAGCATTGTCAACTTAGATTCTCATCCAGTGTGCACATTTCATCATACCTTCTGGACTGTAATCTTCTCTGCTGCAGTTCCCATGACTGATATGTCTCCAATGAATCCATGAATGCAAGTGAGACCCTGGGGAGAGGGATACTGAGGAGAGCTGATAGCTCTTGAAGCCCACCCACCCCTGGACCCAGTTCTCTCTCCATGTCGTGAGGTAAAAATGACAACTTATTGGGCTTCTTCTCTTGATTAGCCATTTGTTCCTGAGGTTCCTGCAGTGGCACTTCTATGGCTTGAAGGTCCCCTCCAAAATTCATGTTGAATGTTAATAGCCATTTTGATAATATTAAGAGGTAGGACAGTTAAGATGTGATTAGGCCATGTGGGCTCCACTCTCATGAATGGGTTAATTCCCTTATCTCAGAAGTGGGTTCGTTATTGTGAGAACTGGTTGTTACAAAAGCAAGTTCAGCCTTCTCTTGCTTTTTTACTCTTGCCTTCTCTTGCCCCTCCTCCCACCACCATGGAATGGTGCAGCATAAAGGCCCTCACTGGATGCTGACTCAGCCTCCAGAACCATGAGCCAAATAAATGTCTACTGTTTATCAATTATCCAGTCTCAGGTATTCTGTTATAGTAGCAGAAAACAGACTAAGATGTGCACCCTTTCTCTAAGCCAGTAATTCTCAAAGAGTGTCCCCCCAAAGGAACAGCATCACATCAGAACTTGTTAGAAATACAAATTATTGAGCCCAATCCTAGGCCTACTGAACAAGAAGCACTGGGAATGGGTCTCAGTCCTCTGTGCTTTTACAAGCTTTCCAGGGAATTCTGAGTCACGCTCAACTTGAGAAATAAGTGGTCCACGATAAGTATGACTTGCCTGATTTGGTCTTACAGGTTTGGGTCTGACATAATAAATCTCTATCAGTCAGGAATTCCTTGAAAGCTGAGCTATTGGCACGCCTAGCTGAAGCGGGGAAAGCCCTGAGTCCTTCTGAGTTATGGCTGTAGGGGCTCTCAAAAAGGTCTGGTCACTTTTCTTTAACACTCTCTTCAACATCCTCTGTCCCTAGAAATGTTTGACTGGCCTTCTAGAGTCACACTAATTATAACCATTTATAGAAACCACTTAATATTTTGGCCCAGTTACCACACAAATCATTAGACATGTCTCATTTTAACTTCGTAACAAGTTTTATTTGATTCTAACACTATTTTTTCTTCTATGCTCAATTTTCACAATTTATCATTCATGTAATAGGGCCATCTGCTCCCAACTTAAAAGAATTAGGGAGACCCTGTAAAAATATTGACCCAGTCAGCCTGAACACATGAAGACTGCAATTACTATTTCCCTGGGCTTACATATGAATAGGTTTCACTTCTAAAGAAGCTGAATATACCAGAAACCATGCTTATAAAACCAGTGATGATATTCACATTACAAAAAGATATTTCACTTTGCAAAAACTTGTTCTTCAATAGTGACCATATACTGTTAATTTAAAGCTTCATTATTTATGTATGTGGATGTGTTTACACAGTGATTTTCAGAAGCACACCTATTACATAAATGGGGGCATACCTGCAAAAACCTCAGCCTCTTGCTGGGAATAAAGTGGGGAGCTCAAGAGCACCATTTGTATTCTAGAATATTCTGAGGCTGTCCTATCACAGATCCAGTCTGTTCCTGGAGAATTCCCAATGATGCCAAGGACAGCTTCCTTTATAAAATCTAAAAACCCTGGCAAAATATGAATTATAGCACAGTAACTCATGCCTCATGGATTATTCTTGAGAAGGCTAAAGCCTAAGTGTCACCCACACAACTAGGTGAGAATCAATTGCTAGCAGCTTAGGGAGGGAAGAAACTTATTACCATACTGTGTTCAATTCCAAAATGTTATGTTAAATAAATATTTATATTGTTAATGAGGACAGGGACTATATAAATCTGATGCACTGAATTATCATTTAATGAAGCTTTTGCTCAGAATTCTGATTAAGCCACCAGGTCAGTCAATATCTTCTGCCCACTTTATAATGATAAATAGTCCATGAAGTTTTCTGTCTGGCAATGACCTTCCTCATTTATAGAGTCTTACACAATCAAAAAGGAAATACCTTGTCTTGCATGTGAACGCAATACTCAATTGTGTGGTCATCCAAAGCCCTCTTGTCCATGCCTTTCTGCCCAAGCAGCCTTGTTCCTGCATGCCAGCTCAAGAATCAAGTGCTAAACAGACCTGCTAGATCTCACTTTAAGAGAGACCTCTTCTGGGGGAGTCTTCTTGGAGTAATCCCTTCAGATACACTCCTTTCAGCTCTCCCCTTTCAGCTCTTATGTATTCAGATTGGACTGCATTATTCTGAACTTAATGCACTACTCTGTCAAATAAACAAAAAAGAGAGAGATGGAAAGGAATGTAAATCTGAGAGTCTGACATAGGAAGGAGGCTGAATCACTGTTATTGTCAGAGTTCAAAGCTTCACAAATGTTTCTTCCACTGTAGTGATTCTTTTAAAAAAATTATTTTACTTGCAATATTTGTGAGGACATAGATGTATATATTTATGGGGTACATGAGATATCTTGGTACAGGAACACAATGTGTAACAATCATATTATAAAAAATTGGGTATCCATCCCTCAAGCATGCATCCTTTGTATTACAAATAATCCAATTATACTCTTAGTTTTTTTTAAATGTACAAGGAAATTATTATTAACTGTAGTCTCCCTGTTGTGCTATCAAATACTAGATTTATACATTCTTGTTAACTATTTTTTGTACCCAATAACCATTACTCCCTGATCCCCACTACCATTCCCGGCCTCTGGTAACCATCCATCTACACTCTCTGTTCATGAATTCAATTGTTTTGATTTTTAGATCTGACAAATAAGTCAGAATATCCAGTTTGTCTTTCTGTGCCTGGCTTATTTCACTTAACGTAATGATCTCCAGTTCCTTCCATGTTGTTGAAAATGATAGAATCTCATCCATTTTTATGACTGAATAGTACTCCATTGTGTATAAGCACCTCATTTTCTTTTTTTTATAACTGTTAAGTTCAGGGGTACATGTGGAGGAGGTACAGGTTTGTTACATAGTTAAATTTGTCTCATGGGGGTATATTATACAGATTATTTCATCACCCAGGTATTAAGCCTATTATTCATTATTGTTTCTGATCCTCTCCTTCCTCTCACCCTCCGTACTTCAGTAGGCCCCAGTATCCATTGTTTCCTTCTATGTGTCCATCTGTTCTCATCATTTACCTCCCTCTTATAAGTGAGAACATGCAGTATTTGTTTTTCTGTTCCGGCATTATTTGCTATTAATGGACTCCAGCTTCATCCGTGTCCCTGCAAAGGACATGATCTCATTATTTTATATAGCTGCATAGTATTCTATGCCTGTATCTGTACCACATTTTCACTTGTCCTTTACTTCCCTTTTTAGGTCTATTCCTACGTATTTTATTCTTTTTGCAGCAATTGTGAGTTGTAGTTCATTCACAATTTGGCTATTGGCTTGACTGTTTTTGGTGTGTAGGAATACTAGTGACTTCTACACATAGATTTCATATCCTGAAACTTTGCTGAAGTTGCTTATCAGCTTGAGAAGCTTTTGGGCTGAGAAGATGGAGTTCTCTAGATATAGGACTATGTCATCTGCAAACAGGCATACTGTGACCTCCTGTCCTCCTATTTGAATACTATTTATTTCTTCCTCTTGCCTGATTTCTCTAGCCAGAACCATATATATATATATATATATATACATACACACACACATATATATATACACACATAAATATATATCTATATACACACATACATGTATATATACACATATATATGTATTGGTTCTGAGTAAATTTAATGAATAAAGTTTTCAAAAATCTTGTTATAATAATTGGATAGTTATATTAAAAATGAAACAATGTATCTCAATTACTATTTTGGTCCATTCACAAAAAATTAAACTCAATATGGTCTATATAAATGAATATAAAAGGTAAAGGAAAACTTTAAGAAAAGTTGTAAGAGAATATCTTTCAACCTTGGAGGTAGACAATGATTTCTTAGAGAGAACACACATAAAATATTGTTAATCATTTTAAAAATTGGTAAATTTGACTTCAACAGAATTCAAACTTTCTCTTCCTCAAAGACATTCTTAAGAAAGTAAAAAGTCAAGCTATAGACTGGAGTAAAGAATCACAATATGGCAGTTCAAAGATTGCTAAATAGGAACAGTTCCAGTCTACAGCTCCTAGCATGAGCGACTCAGAAGATGGGTGATTTCTGCATTTCCAACTGAGGTACCAGATTCATCTCACTGGTGATTGTTGGACGGTGGGTGCAGGACAGTGGGTGCAGGGCACCGAGCATGAGCCAAAGCAGGGCGAGGCATCGCCTCACCCGGGAAGTGCAAGGGGTCAGGGAATTCCCTTTCCTAGCCAAAGGAAGGGGTGACAAACGGCACCTGGAAAATCGGGTCACTCCCACCCTAATACTGCGCTTTTCTGACAGTCTTAGCAAACGGCAAACCAAGAGATTATATCCCGCGTCTGGCTCGGAGGGTCCTACGCCCACGGAACCTCGCTCATTGCTAGCACAGCAGTCTGAAATTGAACTGCAATGCCGCATTGAGGCTGGGGGAGGGGCATCTGCCATAGCTGAGGCTTGAGTAGGTAAACAAAGCAGGCCGGGAAGCTCGAACTGGGTGGAGCCCACCACAGCCCAAGGAGGCCTGCCTGCCTCTGTAGACTCCACCTCTGGGGGCAGGGCATAGCCGAAAAAAAGGCAGCAGAAACCTCTGCAGATTTAAATGTCCCCATCTGACAGCTAGGAAGAGAGTAGTGGTTCTCCCAGCATGCAGCTTGAGATCTGAGAACAGACAGACTGCCTCCTCAAGTGGGTCCCTGACCCGCGAGTAGCCTAACTTGGAGGCACCCCCCGGTAGGGGCAGACTGATACCTCACATGGCTGGGTGCCCCTCTGAGATGAAGCTTCCAGAGGAACGATCAGACAGCAACATTTCCTGTTCAGCAATATTCGCTGTTCTGAAGCCTCCGATGCTGATACCCAGGCAAAGAGGGTCTGGAGTGGACCTCCAGCAAACTCCAACAGACCTGCAGCTGAGGGTCCTGACTGTTAGAAGGAAAACTAACAAACAGAAAGGACATCCACACCAAAACCCCATCTGTATGTCACCATCATCAAAGACCAAAGGTAGATAAAACCACAAAGATGGGGAAAAAACAGAGCAGAAAAACTGAAAATTCTAAAAATCAGAGCGCCTCTCCTCCTCCAAAGGAATGCAGCTCTTCACCAGCAATGGAACAAAGCTGGACGGAGAATGACTTTGATGAGAAGAAGGCTTCAGATGATCAAACTTCTCTGAGCTAAAGGAGGAAATTCGAACCCATTGCAAAGAGGTTAAAAACCTAGAAAAAGATTAGACGAATGGCTAACTAGAATAACCAACGCAGAGAAGTCCTTAAAGGACCTGATGGAGCTGAAAACCATGGCACGAGAACTACGTGATGAATGCACAAGCTTCAGTAGCCGATTCAATCAACTGGAAGAAAGGGTATCAGTAATGGAAGATCAAATGAATGAAATGAAGCGAGAAGAGAAGTTAAGAGAAAAAAGAATAAAAAGAAAAGAACAAGGCCTCCAAGAAATATGGGACTATGTGAAAAGACCAAATCTACGTCTGATTGGTGTACCTGACAGTGACGGGGAGAATGAAACCAAGTTGGAAAACACTCTGCAGGATATTATCCAGGAGAACTTCCCCAATCTAGCAAGGCAGGCCAACATTCAAATTCAAGAAATACAGAGAATGCCACAAAGATACTCCTCGAGAAGAGCAACTCCAAGACACATAATTGTCAGATTCATGGAAGTTGAAATGAAGGAAAAAATGTTAAGGGTGGCCAGAGAGAAAGGTTGGGTTACCCACAAAGGCAAGCCCATCAGACTAACAGCTGATCTCTCAGCAGAAACTCTACAAGCCAGAAGACAGTGGGGGCCCATATTCAACATTCTTAAAGAAAAGAATTTTCAACCCAGAATTTCATATCCAGCCAAACTAAGCTTCATAAGTGAAGGAGAAATAAAATCATTTACAGACAAGCAAATGCTGAGAGATTTTGTCACCACCAGGCCTGCCCTACAAGAGCTCCTGAAGGAAGCACTAAACATGGAAAGGAACAACCAGTACTAGCCACTGCAAAAACATGTGAAATTGTAACGACCATCGAGGCTAGGAAGAAACTGCATCAACTAACGAGCAAAATAACCAGCTGACATCATAATGACAGGATCACATTCACACATAACAATATTAACCTTAAATGTAAATGGGCTAAATTCTCCAATTAAAAGACACAGACTGGCAAATTGGATAAAAGAGTCAAGAACCATCAGTGTGCTGTATTCAGGAAACCCATCTCATGTGCAGAGACACACATAGGCTCAAAATAAAGGGATGGAGGAAGATCTACCAAAGAAATGGAAAACAAAAAAGGCAGGGATTGCAATCCTAATCTCTGATAAAACAGACTTTAAACCAACAAAGATCAAAAGAGACAAAGAAGGCCATTAGATAATGGTAAAGAGATCAATTCAAGAAGAAGAGCTAACTATCCTAAATATATATGCACCCAATACAGGAACACCCAGATTCATAAAGCAAGTCCTTAGAGACCTACAAAGAGACTTAGACTCCCACAGAATAATAATGGGAGACCTTAACACCCCACTGTCAACATTAGACAGATCAACGAGACAGAAAGTTAACAAGGATATCCAGGAATTGAACTCAGCTCTGCACGAAGCGGACCTAATAGACATCTACAGAACTCTCCACCCCAAATGAACAAAATATACATTCTTCTCAGCACCACAACACACCTATTCTAAAATTGACCACATAGTTGGAAGTAAAGCACTCCTCAGCAAATGTAAAAGAACAGGAATTATAACAAACCGTCTCTCAGACCACAGTGCAATCAAACTAGAACTCAGGATTAAGAAACTCACTCAAAACCGCTCAACTACATGGAAACTGAACAACCTGCTCCTGAATGACTACTGGGCACATAACAAAATGAAGGCAGAAATGAAGATGTTCTTTGAAACCAACGAGAACAAAGACACAACATACCAGAATCTCTGGGACACATTTAAAGTAGTGTGTAGAGGGAAATTTATAGCACTAAATGTCCACAAGAGAAAGCAGGAAAGATCTAAAACTGACACCCTAACATCACAATTAAAAGAACTAGAGAAGCAAGGGCAAACACATTCAAAAGCTAGGAGAAGGCAAGAAATAACTAAGATCAGAGCAGAACTGAAGGAGATAGAAACACAAAGAACCCTTCAAAAAATCAATGAATCCAGGAGCTTTTTTTTTAAAAGATCAACAAAATTGATAGACTGCTAGCAAGACTAACAAAGAAGAAAAGAGAGAAGAATCAAATAGATGCAATAAAAAATGATAAAGGGGATATCACCACCAATCCCACAGAAATACAAACTACCATCAGAGAATACTATAAACAACTCTACACAAATAAACTAGAAAATCTAGAAGAAATAGATAAATTCCTGGACACATACACCCTCCCAAGACTAAACCAGGAGGAAGTTTAATCCCTGAATAGACCAATAACAGGCTCTGAAATTGAGGCAATAACTAATAGCTTATCAATGAAAAAAAGTCCAGGACCAGACGGATTCACAGACGAATTCTCCCAGAGGTACAAGGAGGAGCTGGTACCATTCCTTCTGAAACTATTCCAATCAATAGAAAAACAGGAAATCCTCCCTAACTCATTTTATGAGGCCAGCATCATCCTGATACCAAAGCCTGGCAGAGACACAACCAAAAAAAGAGAATTTTAGACCAATATCCCTGATGAACATCGATGCAAAAATCTTCAATAAAATGCTGGCAAACCATATCCAGCAGCACATCAAAAAGCTTATCCACCATGATCAAGTGGGCTTCATCCCTGGGATGCAACGCTGGTTCAACATATGCAAATCAATAAATGTAATCCAGCATATAAACAGAACCAATGACAAAAACCACATGATTATCTCAATAGATGCAGAAAAGGCCTTTGACAAAATTCAACAACCCTTCATGCTAAAAACACTCAACAAATTAGATATTGATGGGATGTATCTCAAAATAATAAGAGCTATTTATGACAAACCCACAGCCAATATCATACTGAATGGGCAAAAACTGGAAGCATTCCCTTTGAAAACTGGCAAAGACAGGGATGCCCTGTCTCACCACTCTTATTCAACATGGTGTTGGAAGTTCTGGCCAGGGCAATCAGGCAGGAGAAAGAAATAAAGGGTATTCAATTAGGAAAAGAGGAAGTCAAATTGTCCCTGTTTGCAGACGACATGATTGTATATCCAGAAAACCCCATCATCTCAGCCCAAAATCTCCTTAAGCTCATAAGCAACTTCAGCAAAATCTCAGGATACAAAATCAATGTGCAAAAATCACAAGCATTCTTACACACCAATAACAGACAAACAGAGAGCCAAATCATGAGTGAACTCCCATTCACAATTGCTTCAAAGAGAATAAAATACCTAGGAATCCAACTTACAAGGGATGTGAAGGACCTCTTCAAGGAGAACCACAAACCACTGCTCAATGAAATAAGAGGATACAAACAAATGGAAGAACATTCCATGCTCATGGGTAGGAAGAATCAATACCATGAAAATGGCCATACTGCCCAAGGTAATTTATACATTCAATGCCATTCCCATCAAGCTACCAATGACTTTCCTCACAGAATAGGAAAAAACTACTTTAAAGTTCATATGGAACCAAAAAAGAGCCCGCATTGCCAAGTCAATCCTAAGCCAAAAGAACAAAGCTGGAGGGCATCACGCTACCTGACTTCAAACTATACTACAAGGCTACAGTAACCAAAACAGCATGGTACTGGTACCAAAACAGAGATATGGAGCACTGGAACAGAACAGAGCCCTCAGAAATAATACCGCACATCTACAACTATCCGATCTTTGACAAACCTGACAAAAACAAGAAATGGCGAAAGGATTCCCTATTTAATAAATGGTGCTGGGAAAACTGGCTAGCCATATGTAGAAAGCTGAAACTGGATCCCTTCCTTACACCTTATACAAAAATTCATTCAAGATGGATTAAAGAATTACATGTTAGACCTAAAACCATAAAAACCCTAGAAGAAAACCTAGGCAATACCATTCAGGACATAGGCATGGGCAAGGACTTCATGTCTAAAACACCAAAAGCAATGGCAACAAAAGCCAAAATTGGCAAATGGGATCTAACTAAAGAGCTTCTGCACAGCAAAAGAAACTACCATCAGAGTGAACAGGCAACCTACAGAATGGGAGAAAATTTTTGAAATCTACCCATCTGACAAAGGGCTCATATCCAGAATCTACAAAGAACTTAAATAAATTTACAAGAAAAAGTCAAACAACCCTATGAAAAAGTGGGCAAAGGATATGAACAAACCCTTTTCAAAAGAAGACATTTATGCAGCCAACAGACGCATGAAAAAGTGCTCATCATCACTGGTAATCAGAGAAATGCAAATCAAAACCACAATGAGATACCATCTCACACCGGTTAGAATGGTGATCATTAAAAAGTCAGGAAACAACAGGTGCTGGAGAGGATGTGGAGAAATAGGAACACTTTTACACTGTTGGTGGGACTGTAAACTGGTTTGATCATTGTGGAAGACCGTGTGGCGATTCCTCAGGGATCTAGAACTAGAAATGCCATTTGACCCAGCCATCCCATTACTGGGTATGTACCCAAACGATTATAAATCATGCTGCTATAAATACACATGCACATGTATGTTTAACGTGGCACTATTCACAATAGCAAAGACTTGGAACCAACCCAAATGTCCAACAATGATAGACTGGATTAAGATAATGTGGCAGATATACACCATGGAATACTATGCAGGTATAAAAAATGATGAGTTCCTGTCCTTTGTAGGGACATGGATGAAGCTGGAAACCATCATTCTGACCAAACTATCACAAGTTCAAAAAACCAAATATCGCATGTTCTCACTCATAGGTGGGAATTGAACAATGAGAACACTTGGACAGAGGCCTGTTGTGGGGTGGGGGGAGAGGGGAGGGATAGCATTGGGAGATATACCTAATGCAAATGACAAGTTAATGGGTGCAGCACACCAACATGGCACTTGTATACATGTGTAACAAACCTGCAGGTTGTGCACATGTACCCTAGAACTTAAAGTATAATAAAATATATATATATAAAGAATCACAATACATTTATCTATGAATCAAAGGACTTGTATCTAGAATATGCAATGAACTCGAACAAATAAATATAAAATGGCAAAAACTCAATTTAAAACAAAATAGACAAAAGATTTGTAAACAGATTCCACAAAGGAAGATTTACAAATGATAATTAAACACAATGAAAAGTTTTCAACATTATTAGTAATCAAGAAATAATAATTAAAAACCCAATGGGATACCATGAACAATTGCCAGTAGCTAAAATTTTAGAAAGAGTTATGATGAGGATATGGAGAAACCAGAGCACTCGTACTTTGCTACTGGGAGTATGAAGACGTAAAACTACTTTTGACAATAATTTGGTAATTTTCTATAAAGATTAATATACAGATATTATATGATCCAGCAGTTCTACTCATTTTTTTATTTTTTATTTTTTTGAGATGGAGTTTGACTCTTATTGCCCAGGCTGGAATGCAATGGCTCAATCTCGGCTCACCACAACCTCCGCCTACCAGGTTTAAGTAGGCCTCAGCCTCCCGAGTAGCTGAGATTACAGGCATGCGCCACCAAGCCCAGCTAATTTTTGTATTTTTAGTAGAGATGGGTTTCTTCATGTTTGTCAGGCTGGTCTCGAACTCCCGACCTCAGGTGATCTGCCCACCTTGGCCTCCCAAAGAGCTGGGATTATAGGCGTGAGCCACTGTGCCTGGCCTGTCAGCAGTTCTACTCCTAATACCCACGAGAAGTGAAAATAACTATTTTGATTGTTCCTGTGTAAAAAATTATCTCAAAACTTAGTGGGTTAAAACAATAACTATTTATTGTCTCAGGATTATCTGGGTTGACAGAGGACTGGACTCATCTCTGTGAACCTTCTGCTCAATGTGCTTGGAGTTGCAGACATCTGAAATGTGACTGGGCAGGAAAGTATAAGATGATCACTTACACTGCTGCAGGTTGGTGCTGGCTGTCAGCTGGGAGCTCAGCGAGGCCCATCAGCTGGAGTGCCTTGCAGAACCTCTAATATTATGTTGAATAGAAGTGGTGAGAGAAGGCATCCTTGTCTTGTGCAAGTTTTCAAGGTGGATGCTTCCAGCTGTTTCCCATTCAGTATGATATTGGCTGTGGGTTTGTCACATATGGCTCTTATTATTCTGAGGTATGTTCTTTCAGTACCTGGTTTATTGAGAGTTTTTAACACGAAGGGATTAATTTTTCAGAAAGCCTTTTCTGCATTTATTGAGATAATCATGTGGTTTTTGTCTTTAGTTTTGTTTATGTGATGAATCACATTTATTGATTTATGTATGTTGAACCAACCTTGCATCCCAGGGAAGAACCCTATTTGCTTGTGGTGGATAAGCTTTCTGATGTGCTGCTGGATTCACTTTGCTAGTATTTTCTTGAGGATTTTTGCACCGATCTTCATCAAGGATATTAGCCTGAAGTTTTCTTTTTTTGTTGTATCTCTGCCAGGTTTTGCTAACATGATGATTCTGGCCTCATAGAATGAGTTAGGGAGGAGTCCCTCTTTTTCAATATTTTGGAATCGTTTCAGTAGGAATGGCACCAGTTCATTTTCATACATCTGGTAGAATTTAGCTGTGAATCCATCTGGTCCTGGGCCTCTTGCTGTTGTTGGTGGTGGTAAGCTATTTATTACTGCCTCAATTTCAGAACTCATTATTGGTATATTCAGGGATTCAACTTCTTCCTCGTTCAGTCTTGTGAGAGTGTATGTGTTCAGGTATGTATTCATTTCTTCTAGATTTTCCAGTTTATGCGCATAGAGGGGTTTATAATATCCTCTGGTGGTTGGTTGAATTTCTGTGGGCTCAGTGGTAATATCCCCCTTATCATTTCTGATGGTGTTTATTTGAATCTTCTCTCTTTTCTTTATTTGTCTAGCTAGCAGTCTATTTTATTAATTTTCTCAAAAAACCAGCTCTTGGATTAATTGATCTTTTGAATGTTTTATTGTATCTCTATCTCCTTCAGTTCAGCTCTGATTTTATTTTTTGTCTTCTGCTAGCTTAGGAGTACCCCATTTTCTATGTTAATGGACACTTAGGTTATTTCCAAATGTTGGATATTACTGCTGTAATAATAATGGGAGTGCAAACACCTCTCTGATATACTGATCTTCTTTCTATTGAGTATATACCCAGCAATGGGAATGCTTCATATAGTATCTCTATTTTTAGTTTTTTGAGGAACTTCCAAAATGTTCTCCATATTGGTTGTACTAATTTATATTTCCACCAGCGATGTACAAAGGTTCTCTTTTCTTTACATTCTTGCTAGCATCTGTTATTGACTTTCTTTTGGATATGAGCCATTTTAACTTGACTGAGATGATATCTCATTGTGGTTTCAATTTGCATTTCTCTAATGATCAGTGATGTTGAGCACCTTTTCCTATGCCTGTTTGCCATTTGTATGTCTTTTTTTTTTTTTTTTTGAGAAATGTCCATTCAAATCTGTTGCTCATCTTTTGATCAGAATATTACTTTTTTTTCCTATAGAGTTGTTTGTGTTTCTTATACATTCTGGTTATTAATCCCTTGTTAGATGGGTAGCTGGCAAATATTTTCTCTGATTTTATGGGTTGTCTCTTCATTTTGTTGATGCAAAAGCTTTGTAACTTGATGTGATTCCATTTGTGCATTTTTGCCCTGGTTGCCTGTGCTTGTAGGGTATCGCTCAAGAAATTTTTGGCTAGACCAATAACCTGGAGATGTTCCCCAATGTTTTCCTGTAGTAGTCACATAATTTTAGATTTTAGAGTGAAGTCTTTAACACATCTTGATTCGACTTTTGTATGTGGTGAAATATAGGGGTCTAGTTTCATTCTCCTACATATGGATATCCAGTTTTCACAGCACCACCATTTATTGAAGAGACCCTAATGTATTTTCCCTAATGTTTGTTCTTCACACATTTCTCAAAAATGAGTTAACTGTAGGCAGTGGATTTCTTTCCGGGTTCTGCCTTCTACTCCATTGGTCTATGTGTCTGTTTTTATACCAGTACCACATTGTTTTGGTTACTATAGTTCTCTAGTATAATTTGAAGTCAGGTAATGTGATTCCTCCAGTTTTGTTCTTTATGCTTAGGATAGCTTTGGCTTTTCTTGGTCTTTCGTGATTCCATGTAAATTTTAGGATGGTTTCTTTTAAATCTGTGAAGAATGTCATTTGTATTTTGATAGGGACAGCACTGAATTGAATCCGTAGACTGCTTTGGGTGGTACAGTCTTTTTAACAATATTGAGTCTTCCAATACATGAACATGGTATATCTTTTCATGTTTTGTGTTTGTCCTCTTCAATTTCTTTTATCAGCTTTGTGTAGTTATCCTTGTAGGGATTATTTACTTCTTTGGCTAAGTTAATTAACGGTTATTTAGTTTTATTTGTTGCTATTGCAAATAGGCTTACTTTCCATTTTTTTTTCAGATTGTTCACTGTTGGCATACAGAAATACTACTGATTTTTGTATGTTGATTTTGTATCCTGCAACTTTACTGAATTCGTTTATCAGTTCTAATAGTTTTTTTGTGTAGACTCTTTAGGTTTTTCCTAATATGAGATAATATCATCTGCAAACAAGGATAATTTGACTTCTTCCTTTCCAATTTGGATGTTCTTTATATCTTTCTCTTGTCTGATTGCTCTAGCTAGGCCTTCCAGTACTATGTTAAATAACAGTGGTGAAAGTTGGCACCCTTGTCATGTTTCAGGTCTTAGAGGAATAGCTTTCAGTTTTTCCCATTCAGTATGATACTAGCTGTGGGTCTGTCATATACAGCTTTTATAATGTTGAGGTATGTTCCTTCTATACCCATTTTTTGAGGGTTTTTGTCATGAAGGAATGTTGAAGTTTATCAAATGCTTTTTCAGCATCAATTGAAATGATCATATGATTTTTGTCTTCCACTCTGGTGATATGATGTATCATATTGATTAATTTATGTATGTTGAACTACCCTTGCCTCCCTATGATAAATATCACTTGGTCATGATGAATGATCTTTTTAATGTATTGCTGAATTTTGTTTGCTAGTATTTTGTTAAGGACTTCTGCATCAATATTTATCAGACATACTGGCCTGTAGTTTTCTTTCTTGCTTTCTTTCTTTCTCTTTCTTTCTTTCCTTCTTTCTTTCTTTCTTTCCTTCTTTCTTTCTTCCTTCCTTCCTTCCTTCCTTTCTTTCTTCCTTCCTTCCTTTCTTCCTTTCTTCCATTCTTTCTTTTTGATGTGTCTTTGCTCTGATTTTGGTATCAGGGTAATACTGGCCTCATAGAATGAGTTTGGAAGTACTCCCTCCTCCTCCATTTCACAACAGTTATAGTAGGATTGGTATCAGTTCTTCTTTAAATGTTAGGTAGAATTCAGCAGTGAAGCCATTGGGTCTCAGGCTTTTCTTTATTGGGAGACTTTTTATTACAGCTTAGATCTCATTTCTTGTTATTGGTTTGCTCAGATTTTGGGTTTCTTTATGGTTCAATCTTAGTAGGTTGTATGTGTCTAGGAATTTATCCATTTCTTCTTGATTTTCCAATTTATTGGCACATAATTGTTCATAGGGGCCACTAATGATCCTTTGAGTTTCAGTTGTAATATCTCCTTTATTAAAATCTCCGATTGTCTCTATTTGGGTCTTCTTTTTTCTGTAGTCTGGCTAAAGGTTTGTCAATTTTATCTTTTCATAAAACCAACTTTTTGTTTCATTGATCTTTTGTATTGTTTTCTTCATTTCAAATTCATTTTTTTTCTGCTCTGATCCTTATTATTTATTTTCTTCTCCTAATTTAGGGTTTGGCTTGCTTTTGCTTTTCTAATTCTTTAAGATTCATTATTAGATTATTTATTTGAAGTTTTCTTTTATTTTGATGTAGGCATTTATAGCAATAAAATTCCCTCTTAGTACTGGTTTTCCTGTATCCCATAGGTTTTGGTATGTTGTATTTCCTTTTTCATTTGTTTTAAGAAACTTTTCAATTTCCTTCTTATCTTTTTCATTGACCCACTGATCACTCAAGAGCATATTGTTTAATTTCTGTGTGTTCCTATAGCTTCCAAAATTTGTCTTGTTATTGATTTCTAGTTCTATTCCATTGTGGTTACAGAATGAGAATAATCCATGTGCTGAGGAGAAGAGTGTGTATTCTGCCATTGGATTAAATGTTCTGTAAATATCTATTAGGTCCATTTGTTCCATAGTGCACATTAAATTTGATATTTCTTTATTGATCTTCTGACTGGACTTCTGTCTAATGCTGAAAGTGTGTGTTGAAGTCTCCAGTTACTGTTGTATTGGTGTCTACCTCTCCCTTTAACTCTATTAATATTTGCTTTATATATCCGGGTGCTCCAGTGTTGTGTGCATATATATTTATAATCATTATATCCTCCTGTTAAATTAACCCTTTTATCATCATATAATAACCTTCTTAGTCTCTTCTTTGCAGTTTTTTTCTTGAAACCTATTTTGTCTGATATTAGTATAGCTACTCCTGCTCCATTTTGCTATCCATTGGCATAGAATATCTTTTTCCCTTCCTTTATTTTGAGTTTATATGTATATTTATAGGTGAAGTGTGTTTCTTGTAGGCAAAAGATTATTGGGTCTTGTTTTTTCATCTATTTAGCCTCTCTGTGTCTTTTCATTGGAGAATTTAGTCTACTTACATTCAATGTTATTGTTCATAAGTAGGGACTTACTCCTGACATTCTTTTTTTGGTGGTTTTGAAGGTTTCTCTTCCTTCCTGTCTTCCTTTTAGCAAAGATTATTTTCTTTGGTGGCATGCTTTAATTTCTTGCTCTGTGTGTGTGTGTGTGTGTGTGTGTGTGTGTGTATCTGTTGCACATTTTTTAAATTTGAGGTTACCATAAGATTTGCAAATACCATTATAACCAATTGTTTTAAACTGATGACAACACTGATTGCACATACAAATAAAGACACAAACACACAAAAAGAAAACTAATAAAATATCTACATTTTAACTTCATCCCTCTGCTTTTTAATTTGTTTCTCTTTATGTCTTATTTTACTATCTATGTCTTGAAAAGTTGTTGTACTTATCATTTTTATTGGTTCATCATTTAGTCTTTCTACTTAAGACAAAAGTAGTTTACACACCACCATTACAGTGTTATACTGTTCTGTGCTTTTCTGTGTGCTTACTATTACCATTGAATTTTGTACCTTCAGATGGTGTCTTCCTGCTCATTAACATCCTTTTCTTTTTGATTGAAGAAGTCCCTTTAGCATTTCTTGTAGGAAAGGTCTGGTATTGACAAAGTCTCACAGCTTTTGTTTGTCTGGTGTATTAATCTGTTCTCACACTATAAAAATATACCTGAGACTGGGTAATTTATGGAGAAAAGAGGTTTAATTCAGTCACAGTTCTGCATGCTGTACAGGAGGTATGGCTTGGGAGGCCTCAGGAAACTTACAATCATGGCAGAAGGGGAAACAGATGCAATCTTCACATGGTGGAGCAGGAGAGAGAGAGTAAAGGGGGTGGTGTTATATACTTTTAAATAACCAGATCTCATGAGAACTTAATCATGAGATAGCACTAAGGAGATGGTGCTAAATAATTAGAAACCACCCCCGTGATCCAATTACGTCCCACCAGGCCCCACCTTCAACACTAGGAATTATAATTCAACATGAGATTTGAGTGGGGACACAGAGCCAATCCATATCGTCTGGAAAGGTCTTTATTTCTCCTTCATGTTTGAAGGACATTTTTGCAGGATATACTATTCTAGGGTAAAACTTTTTTCCTTCAACACTTTAAATATGTCATGCCACTGTCTCCTGGCCTGTAAGGCTTCCACTTAAAAGTATGCTGCCAGACATATTGGAACTCCATCGTATGTTATTTGCTTCTTTTCTCTCGCTGCTTTTATGATCTGTTATTTTTGACCTTTTGGAGTTTGATTATTAAATGCCTTGATGTCATCTTCTTTGGGTTAAATCTACTTGGTGTTGTATAACTTTCTTGTACTTGAATGTTGATATCTTTGTCTAGGTTTGGGAAGTTCTCTGATATTATCCCTTTGAATAAACTTTCTATATCTATCTCTCTACCTCCTCTTTAAGGCCAATAACATTTAGATTTGCCCTCTTGCGTTTATTTTCTACATCCTGTAGGCATGCTTCATTGTTTTTTATTATTTTTTATTTTGTCTTCTCTGTGTTTTTTTCAAATAGCCTGCCTTCAATCTCAGTAATTCTTTCTACTGCTTGATCACTTCTGCTATTAAGAGACTGATGCATTCTTTCGCATGTCAATTGCATTTTTCAACTCTGGAATTTCTGCTTTATTTTGTTGTTGTTATTTCAATCTCTGTGTTAAATTTATCTGACAGGGTTCTGAATTCCTTCTCTGTTTTACCTTGAAATTCTTTGAGTTTCCTCTAGACAGCTATTTTGAATTTTTTGTCTGAAAGGTCACATATCTGTTTCTCCAGGATTGTTCCCTGGTGCCTTATTTAGTTCATTTGGTGAGGTCATGTTTTCCTGGATGATGTTGATGCTTGTAGATGTTTGTCGGTGTCTGGGCATTCAAGAGTTAGATATTTATTGTATTCTTCACAGTCTGGGATTGTTTATGCCTGTCCTTCTTGGAAAGGCTTCCCAGGTATTTGAAGGAAATTGGGCCCAAGTCTGCTAACACTGTGGTTATAACAGACTTGTAGAGGTACTGCCTTGGTGGTCTGGTATAGGATCTGGAAGAATTCTCTGGATTTCTGGGAAGAGACTCTTGTTCTTTTCCCTTACTTTCTCCCAAACAAATAGAGTCTCTCTCTGTGCTGATCCACCTGGAGCTGAGGGTGTGGTGATACAAGCACCCCTGTGGCTTCAGGGTGAGACCTGAGGCCAGCACAGCACTGGATCTTGCCCAAGGCCCTGTTCTTCAGGGTGGTGCATTCCCTCAGGCCCTGGGCATGTCCAGGGATGCTGTCTGGGAGCCAGGTATTGGAGTTTACCTAGTGTTTACCTCAGCAGTTTACCTCAGCAGTTTACCTAGTGTTCTATTCTGAGGTTAAGCTGGTACTTACACCAGAATGCAAAGTCCTTCCCACTTTGCCCTCCCGTTTCCACAGGTAGAGGAGCCTCTCTCTGTGGCCACCACCACCGGTCAATGGAGGTTCTGCCAGGCTACTGCTGATGTTTACCTAAAGCCCAAGGCTTCTTCCATCAGCTTGTGGTGAATGCTACCACGCCTGGGACTCATTGTTTATGGCAGTGGGCTCCCCTCTGGCCAAGGGCAGGTCTAGAAATGCGGTCCAAGGGCCTAGGTCTGGACTCGGGGACTCTAAGAGCCTGCTTGTTTCTCTACCCTATTGTGGCTGAGCTGGTACCCAAGGTGCATGACAAAGTCCCCTTTACTTTTCCCTTTGCTCTTCTCAAACAGAAGGAGTCTTTCACCATAGTCACCACAGCTCATAATATGCTGGGCCACACCTGTAGTCAGCAGGTCTTAAAGCCCAAGGCCCATGGTGTACTTCCTGGGCATCACTGCTGGTTATTCAGCGCCCAAGGGCTCTTTAGTCAGTGGGTGATAAATCCTGCCAGGACTGGGTCCTTCCCTTCAAGGCAGTAGATTCCCTTTTGGCCCTGGGTGTGACTAGAAATTTCATCTGTGAACTTGGTCCTGAAATGGGGGCCTCAGAACTCTGCCTAATGCCCTATCCTACTATGGTTGAGCTGGTATCCAAGGCGGAAACCAAAGTCCCCTTTACCCTTTGCTCTCCTCTCTTTAAGCAGAAGGAAGGAGTCACTTTTGTTGCTCTGAGTTGCACTGCCTGAGGGCTGGGGGAGGGATGGTGCAAGCCCTCCCTTAGCCACACCAGCTGGTGTCTCCCTAGATCATGTGCCACCCTAGTTCACTGGCTCTAAGCCCAGCCTAGCACTAGCAGTTGTCTAGAAATTGTAGTCCTAGTGTCCTAGACTGCCTTTAAGTTTACCTAGGACCCCAAAGCACTTCAGCCCGTGGTGGCGAGGCTTGCTGAGAAACTCATGTTCGAACCCCTGGGATGGATGATGTCCCTCTGGCCAGGTCTTTTCCAAATGATCCTTCTATGCACAGGTGCTAGTTGAACCCAGCATGGCTTTATTCTCCGCTGTGACAGAGCAACACTGATTTCAACGTAAAGTTCCCCAGTCTCTGTGCTCTCCCTCCCCATGGTGCAGATTCTCTCTCCATGCTGCATGGCCACTGCTGCAGGATGGGGAAGGGGTGGTGTTGGCAATTGAAGATTGTTTCTCCTGCTCTCCTCAATGTCTCTTACAGTAATATGAAGTGAAATCTAGGTACTGTGATTACTCACCTAATTTTCGGTTCTTGTGACATTGGTTTTCTGTGTGCAGATAATTGTTAAAATTTGTTGTTCCAATGGGGAGGAATAATGATGGAGGCTTCTATTCTGCCATCTTGCTTCATCCCCACAGTGATTCCTAACCTTCAAAGGGGTCACGTACCCTCTCTAAGACTTTGAGGAAATCTAGAGCTCCTCTCCCTAGACATGCTTATATGCACATATACACAAAGTTTTGCATCTAATTTGAAGGGGTTTATGCATCACATATAATACATCCATAGGCCCAAAATCAAAAGTCACCAGGAATCACCACCACCTTTATCATTGTGATGTCCAATCACACCATCTGTAATTCATGTGACACTGATTTGAGAATAATTTTATTAAAATGTCTGATATGTATTATAGTTGGTCGATTTTCTAGGTTCTGCCTGGGACCTTCCTCTATTCCCACTCCCTCCAGGTGTGCTTACTCACTCCCAATGCATCAACTGCCCTCTTTATCAGTGGCTAACCAATCCCTGCCCTCTTTGTGAAACTCATGGAAGTTACAAAACCTCTATCCAGAAACGTGTACATAAGCATCTACCCCCTCATTGTGCCACCTGGCCTTCTGGGCAGGTACGTGCCATCTGGTCCATCCACAAACTCAAAACTGAAAGGGAACTTCATCTCCCTATACAAAATGAATTCAGGCATGTAACCTTTTAACTTGGGGATTAAACCTATTCTAATAATTCATAGAAACAGAGTTTGAATTTTCAACGAGCTGTATAATCTAGTCTCAGATCTTCCTGTCTTCTAACTTCATTATGGAAATCCTGATCAAGCCCCCAATGCTGAAAATGCAGGTGCCTCACATGCAGGTCTGCAAAGCCCAGTTTGTTTTCCCCATACGCTGTCACAGGCCTTTAGTGCACTGTGAGTGAGCAGTCAGGCGAGCCTTGGCCCACTGTGCTCAACTGGGGACTAAATCAACTTGTTTAATTACCCTAATAAACCCAACTCCTTTATTTTGGTGCTATTTACAAAATTATAAGATCTAGCAAAGCCTAGTCATGAAAAAGATCTATTGCCTGTAAAGAATTTTATTTCTGCAAGTGGCATCATCTCACATCAATAGCTAAACATAATATTACTGATTTGTCTTACATTGTTTGTCTGTAAATTTGACGCATTTCTACTCTTGACAATAAATATTCATAAACTAAGCTAAATGGGTTTTAGAAGCACAGCCCCTTCATGTGTGAAGTAAAATGCTCAAACTGAAAGGGCATGAGCTTTGAAATCAGGAAGAAAAGTTTCCAACTCAAGGTTCTGTCATTTCCTAACTGAGTGTCTTGCATTAAATTATTGAAGTTTTCTGAGCCTCAGTTTCAAGATCTGTAAAATAGGGTTAACAATGCACTCTTTGCAAGATTGTTTTGAGGATGCAAATGAAACAATGGGTTATAAAATGACTTTGTAAATTTGAAGTGCTATAAAATTGTAGTTACTGTTTCCTGTTTATGTACATAAATAATTTTTGAAATAACAAATGACAAATATGGAGATAAAACACTAATGATTTTGAACACTGCTCTATAGAAGTATTAGACTAATATGAATCCTTTCTTCATTATGGGTAACAACCTTTAACGATAAAAACACAACATATCTTAGATTTTGTAGAGATTGGTAATGTCCACTGACACTCTGTTTGAAGTCAATATGGTTTTGACAAAGTGAAAAATCCACAGGCTCAGAGGCGGGACCTTCATGTCTAATCTGGATTCCAGCAGTGCTGTGCTATTCTATCACTTGAACAATGGTGGTAATGTGCCACTCTGACTTTCCTCATCTGGCAACGGATCTAATACCACCCGCTCAATTTATCCAGCAGGATTAAATTCAGTTTAATAATCAGAGGGAAAAGAAAAAAGTCTGAAGAATGGCAGCAGGGTGGAGGACAGAGGTATAAAATAATGGGGAGCAAGGAGGAGGTAAAAAGGAGGCAGTTAACGTCAGTGGCATCTCTCCTTAGCCCTCCATGAGAGATACAGGCAGAAGAGAAGCTGACAAAGAAGAAAAGATAAGAAATTTTTTCCACATTGAGGAGGAGGAGAGCAGGGAGAGTCCTCCAAGGGAAGATTTGGCATGTGGATCTGCTTCAAAAGCTGCACAGAGATTATGTGCAGGGGATCCTGATTACTAATCCAATTGGCAATGTACCCTAGGGACAAATTTGTCGTGATTAAATTCCCGTAAAGTTTGATATAAGCTTCAAATCAGCAGAAAAATAATGAGTTTACTTTGTAGGGTACACTAGGAGAAGAGTCAGTAAGAATAGTTTGGGAAGGATTCTGTGTAGTAGGTTAAGGTAGCATCTTTGCTTTCTTGAGGAATCAAATTATAGACATAGGAGAAGTTACAACCTGAAGAAGAAAAGACTGTGACTTATGAAGAAAGTAAGGTTTGGCTTTGAGGTCCGGACCATCAAATCTAATATCGAAAAGAGAGTTTGATTCAGTTCAGGTGAAGAACATTTTTACTTTGAGCATTCACTATGTGCCAGGCCTTGGGCTGCATATCATGCAAAATTTTAGCCATTTGACAAACATTCACTGCATATCCACTAGATATCAGGGCATACAGTTTAGAATGTACTAAACGTTGTACACTGCAAACTCATTGAATCCTTCAGTGCCCCTATGGATTAGGTACTCTTATTACCCATATTTTACACAGCTGAGAAATGTATAAGTTCCAAGACCTATGTCCCTGTCTGAATGACTGACTCCCGGCACTGCGTGCATCCTCTTCACTAGGCTCTCTATCCCACTGCCGTTCTTCACATGACAAAGGGAAGACCACAGACATGTCACAAATGTGGGCAAGGGTGAGATGGGGAACATAAGGAAGAGGCTGAATTTTACCTTGCGGTGGACAAGAAACAAAGAATAAAAACAGAGACAGAAGCTATGGAGGAAAAAGAGGGGCCAGGGAAAGGAATATGGGGTGGGGAAAGGAAGGTTAAGCCTTTCCTCATTCAGTAGCAATGGCTCATCAGATTCTACAGAGGAGGTCAGCAGGGTGGAGGTGGAGCAGGTAGGGGATGGGCACCTCCCAGAATCCATTGGAAAATAAACCAAGATTAAAAGGGCTGAGTAGAGCCAAGAGAGATGGACCCAACTCAAAAAAGAAGAAATAAAGAGGAGTGCTGAGGTAAGAGTAGCCGCTATGGGAGGCAGTGTAGGAGGGGGAAAAATGCAGGAGGGCAAAGGAAACCTGGAAGGATGAATTAAAATCACACTAGTGGCAGAAAGCACATCTCAGAACAGGTAATACAATCATATCAGAACACAGGAAGCTTGAGACACAGCCTGTGGGGCTCTGAGAGCAAAGAAACAGGATGTAATTTTAGTATAAGAAACAAAGCTGAATACAAAGAAGGGCATGTATTATGCAGGAAAGGGCATGGCCTTCAGGCTCTTTGCATTGTTCAACAGGAGGAAGAAGTCACACAGGAGAGGAAGTTTGCTTGTCTCACATCATGTAGGATATTTGAGTCCTGAGCTAGAACATGTAGGTAGAGAGAGGGGTGGAAAAATGAGCCCTCTGTCCTCAGATGTGTATAGAATGCATAAAATGAAATGTTTCTTGGCTGGGGGCAATTTTACTCTTGAAGGGAGAGGTTTTTGTGACTTCCAGAATGGAGGGTAGAGTGACTACTGGCATCTAATGGGTAGAAGGCTTAGATGCTGCTAAACATCTTGCAATGCCCAGGACAATCCTGCATAACAAAGGATTATCTTACCCAGAGTGTCAATGATTGGTCAAGAAACTCTGATAAGTGTTCTTATCTCTATCTGAAGTCCCTATTCCAATAAATAATGGTGATGAGGAGTATCTTAAAATCTTCTAATTAGTGGGTATGCAGTCTCCTTCCATCAAAAATAGTCTCTTCTAGGTTAACTTAGTCCCTTTAGGTAAATGCTGAGTGTTCCAGAGTTTCACCACCCATCCCTACATCCTTTGTTCCCAAGATAGCAACAGAGGTTGGCAAGGAGATCCTTGTGAGAATGCTCATGGCCTCTATAGTAATGTCCTCAGATACTCCACCTTCCTGGCAACCAACAATGAGGTACAGGGCTAATGAAATACCGCTTGTCCTGTCATCTCAATCCAGGCATGATGTTGCTCTCCATCCTGTCTAGTAGGCCCTGCCTTATCCTATGACTGCCCTTGAGGCCCTCTGTGTCTCAGCCACATGATTCTACCAGCCCTGGATTAGGCTGGCCACCTGTAGCCTCTGCCATGGAGTCATCTTGGCTCTCAACATTCAGCTACCTTCCATGTCCCTCACTGGGAGCATGTAAAGACTTCTGGATCCCTCTATGCCAGGTAGGAGCTATGGAAGAAGTGGCCTTCTCTTTGTATCCATTCCTCCTCTGTTATGATCACTCCTTATTGGTGAGGGACACTCTTAAAGGTGGTCTTCCAGAGTCTCAGACAGTGAAGATGGCATATATCTGCTCTGTTGGCAACTTCCCCAAAAATCTGGTTGGAATATTTTTGTCAAACCTCCATTTCCCCACAAAGTCCACCCTTATGGGGTGGGTGGGGGAGATGAAACACTTACTCATCCTCTTTCTTTCACTCACTCTCCCACCTCTCAGTGTGCTCCATGTTTTTTCCTAAAGAGTGGGCCTGTCACATGTATCACATGCTGAGTTTTCACAATTTATTACTTGAAGTAAAGCTCTAGAGGCCCTGTTGGCCAGGCTTTCCTCTTTATTTTATAACTTTATTGAGAGGTAATTCACATAACATAAAATTCATCCCTATAAAGTACAAAATTCAGTGGTTTTTAATACATTATCGTAGAGTTGTGCAACCATTACCACTATCCAATTTTTAAAAATTTTCTTTCATTTCATTTTTAAATTTTAAGTTTTAGGATACATGTGCAGAATGTGCAGGCTTATTACATAGGAAAATTTATGCCTTGGTGGTTTGCTGCACCTATCAACCCATCACCTAGGTATTAAACCACACATACATTAGCTATTTATCCTGATGCTCTCCCTCCCACCATACCCCCACCCTAACAGGCTACAATGTGTGTTGTTCCCCTCACTGTGTCCATGTGTTTTCATTGTTCTGCTCCTACTTATAAAGGAGAACATGCAGTGTTTGGTTTTCTGTTCCTCTGTTAGTTTGCTGAGGATAATGGCTTCCAGCTCCATCCATGTCCCTGCAAAGAACATGATCTCCTTACTTTTTATGGCTACATTGTGTTCCATGGGGTATATGTACCACATTTTCTTTATCCAGTCTATCATTGATGGACATTTGGGTTGGTTCTATGTCTTTGCTATTGTGAATAGTGCTGCAATAAACATACGTGTGCATGTGTCTTTATAACAGAATGATTTACATTCCTTTGGGTGTATACCCAGTAATGGGATTGCTGGGTCAAATGGTATTTCTGGTTCTAGGTCTTTGAGGAATTGCACACTGTCTTCCACAATGGTTGAACTAATTTATATTCTCACCAACAGTGTAAAAGCATTCCTATTTATCTGCAGCCTCACCAGCATATGCTGTTTCTTGACTTTTTAATAATTGCCACTCTGACTGGCATGAGGTGGTATCTCATTGTGGTTTGGATTTGCATTTCCCTAATGATCAGTGATGTTAAGCTATTTTTCATATACTTGTTGACCATGTGTATGTCTTCTTTTGAGAAGTGTCTGTTCATGTCCTTTGCCAACTTTTTAATGGAGTTGTTTGTTGTTTTCTTATAAATTTGTTCAAGTTTCTGTTTGAAGTGGCCGTTAGCACTGCTTATCCCCATTCCCTGCTTGGTACCTCTTGCGATCTAATATTCTGCTTAATGTCAGCATCACCAGGGCAGAGTTTCTATCTCTATTGTTCACTGTTGTATATTCAGTGCTCAGAACAGCACCTGGCACATAGTAGGAGCTTAAATAAATTCTTGGAGTTTAGCCAAGATGGCCGATTAGGAACAGATCCAGTCTACAGCTCCCAGCATGAGAGATGAAGAAGATGAATGATTTCTGCATTTCCAACTGAGGTACGGGGTTCATCTCACGGGGGATTGTCAGACAGTGGGTGCAGGACAGTGGGTGCAGTGCACCGAGCGTGAGCCGAAGCAGGGCGAGCCATCGCCTCATCTTGGAAGCGAAAAGGGGTCAGGGAATTCCCTTTACAAGCCAAAGAAAGGGGTGACAGACGGCACCTGGAAAATCGGGTCATTCCCACCCTAATACTGCGCTTTTCTGAGAGTGTTAGCAAACGGCACACCAGGAGATTAGATCCTGCACCTGGCTCGGAGGGTCCTACGCCCACGGAGCCTCACTCATTGCTAGCACAGCAGTCTGAGATCAAACTGCAAGGCGGCAGCGAGGCTGGGGGAGGGGCGCCCACCATTCCTGAGGCTTGAGTAGGGAAACAAAGCGGGTGGGAAGCTCGAACTGGGTTGGAGCCCACCACAGCTCAAGGAGGCCTGCCTGCCTCCGTAGACTCCACCTCTGGGGGCAGGGCACAGCCAAACAAAAGGCAGCAGAAACCTCTGCAGACTTAAATGTCCCTGTCTAACAGGTTTGAAGAGAGTAGTGATTCTCCCAGCACACAGCTTGAGATCTGAGAACAGACAGACTGCCTCCTCAAGTGGGTCCCTGAACCCCAAGTAGCCTAACTGGGAGGCAGCCCCCAGTAGGGGCAGACTGACACCTCACACGGCCGGGTACTCCTCTGAGACAAAATTTCCAGAGGAAATATCAGGCAGCAACATTTGCTGTTCACCAACATTCACTGTTCTGCAGCCTCTGCTGCTGATACCCAGGCAAACAGGGTCTGGAGTGGACCTCCAACAAACTCCAACAGACCTGCAGCTGAGGGACCTGACTGTTAGAAGGAAAACTGACAAACAGAAAGGACATCCACACCAAAACCCCATCTGTATGTCACCATCATCAAAGACCAAAGGTAGATAAAACCACAAAGATGGGGAAAAAACAGAGCAGAAAAACTGAAAATTCTAAACATCAGAGCGCCTCTCCTCCTCCAAAGGAATGCAGCTCCTCACCAGCAACGGAACAAAGCTGGACAGAGAACGACTTTGACGAGTTGAGAGAAGAAGGCTTCAGACAATCAAACTACTCCAAGCTAAAGGAGGAAGTTTGAACCCATGGCAAAGAAGTTAAAAACTTTGAAAAACGACTACACAAATGGCTAACTAGAATAACCAATGCAGAGAAGCCCTTAAAGGACCTGATGGAGCTGAAAGCCATGGCATGAGATCTATGTGACGAATGCACAAGCCTCAGTAGCCGACTCAATCAACTGGAAGAAAGGGTATCAGTGATGGAAGCTCAAATGAATGAAATGAACTGAGAAGAGAAGTTTAGAGAAAAAAGAATAAAAAGAAATGAACAAAGCCTCCAAGAAGTATGGGACTATGTGAACAGACCAAATCTACGTCTGATTGGTGTACCTGAAAGTGACGGGGAGAATGAAACCAAGTTGGAAAACACTCTGCAGGATATTATCCAGGAGAACTTCCCCAATCTAGCAAGGCAGGCCAACATTCAAATTCAGGAAATACAGAGAACGCCACAAAGATACTCCTCGAGAACAGCAACTCGAAGACACATAATTGTCAGATTCACCGAAGTTGAAAAGAAGGAAAAAATGTTAAGGGCAGCCAGAGAGAAAGGTCGTGATACCCACAAAGGGAAGCCCATCAGACTAACAGCTGATCTCTCAGCAGAAACTCTACAAGCCAGAAGACAGTGGGGGCCAATATTCAACATTCTTAAAGAAAAGAATTTTCAACCCAGAATTTCATATCCAGCCAAACTAAGCTTCATAAGTGAAGGAGAAATAAAATCCTTTACAGACAAGCAAATGCTGAGAGATTTTGTCACCACCAGGCCTGCCCTACAAGAGCTCCTGAAGGAAGCACTAAACATGGAAAGGAACAACCGTACCAGCCACTGCAAAAACATGTCAAATTGTAAAGAACATCGATGCTAGGGAAAAACTGCATCAACTAACGAGCAAAGTAACCAGCTGACATCATAATGACAGGATCAAATTCACACATAACAATATTAACCTTAAATGTAAATGGGCTACATGCTCCAATTAAAAGACACAGACTGGCAAATTGGATAAAGAGTCAAGAACCATCAGTGTGCTGTATTCAGGAAACCCATCTCACGTGCAGAGACACACATAGGCTCAAAATAAAGGGATGGAGGAAGATCTACCAAGCAAGTGGAAAACAAAAAAGGCAGGGGTTGCAATCCTAGTCTCTGATAAAACAGACTTTAAACCAACAAAGATCAAAAGAGACAAAGAAGGCCATTACATAATGGTCAAGGGATCAATTCAACAAGAAGAGCTAACTATCCTAAATATATATGCACCCAATACAGGAGCACCCAGATTCATAAAGCAAGTCCTTAGAGACCTACAAAGAGACTTAGACTCCCACACAATAATAATGGGAGACATTAACGCCCCACTGTCAACACTAGACAGATCAACGAGACAGAAAGTTAACAAGGATATCCAGGAATTGAACTCAGCTCTGCACCAAGTGGACCTAATAGACATCTACAGAACTCGCCACCCCAAATGAACAGAATATACATTCTTCTCAGCACCACACCACACCTATTCTAAAATCGACCACATAGTTGAAAGCACTCCTCAGCAAATGTAGAAGAACAGGAATTATAACAAACCGTCTCTCAGACCACAGTGCAATCAAACTGGAACTCAGGATTAAGAAACTCACTCAAAACCGCTCAACTACATGGAAACTGAACAACCTGTTCCTGAATGATTACTGGGTACATAATGAAATGAAGGCAGAAATAAAGATGTTCTTTGAAACCAACGAGAACAAAGACACAACATACCAGAATCTCTGGGACACATTTAAAGCAGTGTGTAGAGGGAAATTTATAGCACTAAATGCCCAAAAGAGAAAGCAGGAAAGATCTAAAACTGACACCCTAACATCACAATTAAAACAACTAGGGAAGCAAGAGCAAACACATTCAAAAGCTAGAAGAAGGCAATAAATAACTAAGATCAGAGCAGAACTGAAGGAGATAGAGACACAAAACACCCTTCAAAAAATCAATGAATCCAGGAGTGGGTTTTCTGAAAAGATCAACACAATTGATAGACTGCTAGCAAGACTAATAAAGAAGAAAAGAGGGAAGAATCAAATAGATGCAATAAAAGATGATAAAGGGGATATCACCACCAATCCCACAGAAATACAAACTACCATCAGAGAATACTATAAACACCTCTATGCAAATAAACTAGCAAATCCAGAAGAAATGGATAAATTCCTCGACACATACACCCTCCCAAGACTAAATCAGGAAGAAGTTGAATCTCTTAGTAGACCAATAACGGGCTCTGAAATTGAGGCAATAATTAATAGCTTACCAACGAAAAGAAGCCCAGGACCAGACGGATTCACAACCGAATTCTCCCAGAGGTACAAGGAGGAGCTGGTACCATTCCTTCTGAAACTATTCCAATCAACAGAAAAAGAGGGAATCCTCCCTAACTCATTTTATGAGGCCAGCATCATCCTGACACCAAAACCTGGTAGAGACACAACAAAAAAAGAGAATTTTAGACCAATATCCCTGATGAACATTGATGCAAAAATCCTCAATAAAATACTGGCAAACCAAATCCGGCAGCACATCAAAAAGCTTATCCACCATGATCATGTGGGCTTCATCCTTGGGATGCAAGGCTGGTTCAACATATGCAAATCAATAAATGTAATCCAGCATATAAACAGAACCAATGACAAAAACCACATGATTATCTCAATAGATGCAGAAAAGGCCTTTGACAAAATTCAACAACCCTTCACGCTAAAAATTCTCAAAAAATTAGGTATTGATGGGACGTATCTCAAAATAATAAGAGCTATCTAAACTGGAAGCATTCCCTTTGAAAACTGGCACAAGACAGGGATGCCCTCTCTCACCACTCCTATTCAACATGGTGTCGGAAGTTCTGGCCAGGGCAACCAGGCAGGAGAAGGAAATAAAGGGTATTCAATTAGGAAAAGAGGAAGTCAAATTGTCCCTGTTTGCAGACGACATGTTTGTATATCTAGAAAACCCCATCATCTCAGTCCAAAATCTCCTTAAGCTGATAAGCAACTTCAGCAAAGTCTCAGGATACAAAATCAATGTGCAAAAATCACAAGCATTCTTATACACCAATAACAGACAAACAGAGAGCCAAATCATGAGTGAACTCCCATTCACAATTGCTTCAAAGAGAATAAAATACCTAGGAATCCAACTTACAAGGGATGTGAAGGACCTCTTCAAGGAGAACCACAAACCACTGCTCAATGAAATAAAAGAGGATACAAACAAATGGAAGAACATTCCATGCTCATGGGTAGGAAGAATCAATACCGTGAAAATGGCCATACTGCCCAAGGTAATTTATAGATTCAATGCCATTCCCATCAAGCTACCAATGACTTTCTCCACACAATTGGAAAAAAACTACTTTAAAGTTCATATGGAACCAAAAAAGAGCCCGCATTGCCAAGTCAATCCTAAGCCAAAAGAACAAAGCTGGAGGCATCACCCTACCTGACTTCAAACTATACTACAAGGCTACAGTAACCAAAACAGCATGGTACTGGTACCAAAACAGAGTTATAGACCAATGGAACAGAACAGAGCCCTCAGAAATAATGCCGCATATCTACAACTATCTGATCTTTGACAAACCTGAGAAAAACAAGCAATGGGGAAAGGATTCCCTATTTAATAAATGGTGCTGGGAAAACTGGCTAGCCATATGTAGAAAGCTGAAACTGGATCCCTTCCTTACACCTTATACAAAAATTCATTCAAGATGGATTAAAGAATTACATGTTAGACCTAAAACCATAAAAACCCTAGAAGAAAACCTAGGCATTACCATTCAGGACATAGGCATGGGCAAGGACTTCATGTCTAAAACACCAAAAGCAATGGCAACAAAAGACAAAATTGACAAATGGGATCTAATTAAACTAAAGAGCTTCTGCACAGCAAAAGAAACTAGCATCAGAGTGAACAGGCAACCTACAGAATGGGAGACAATTTTTGCAATTTACTCATCTGACAAAGGGCTAATATCCAGAATCTACAAAGAGCTCAAACAAATTTACAAGAAAAAAACAAACAACCCCATCAACAAGTGGGCAAAGGATATGAACAGAGACTTCTCAAAAGAAGACATTTAGGCAGCCAACAGACACATGAAAAAATGCTCATCATCACTGGCCATCAGAGAAATGCAAATCAAAACCACATTGAGATACCATCTCACACCAGTTGGAATGGCGATCATTAAAAAGTCAGGAAACAACAGGTGCTGGAGAGGATGTGGAGAAATAGGAACACTTTTACACTATTGGTGGGACTGTAAACTAGTTCAACCATTGTGGAAGTCAGTGTGGCGACTCCTCAGGGATCTAGAACTAGAAATACCATTTGACCCAGCCATCCCATTACTGGGTATATACACAAAGGATTATAAATCATGCTGCTATAAAGACACATGCACATGTATGTTTATTGAGGCACTGTTCACAATAGCAAAGACTTGGAACCAAGCCAAATGTCCAACAATGATAGACTGGATTAAGAAAATGTGGCACATATACACCATGGAATACTATGCAGCCATAAAAAATGATGACTTCATGTCCTTTGTAGGGACATGGATAAGCTGGAAACCATCATTCTCAGCAAACTATCAGAAGGACAAAAAACCGAACACCGCATGTTCTCACTCATAGGTGGGAATTGAACAATGAGAACACATGGACACAGGAAGGGGAACATCACACACTGGGGCCTTTGTGGGGTGGGGGGAGGGGGGAGGGATAGCATTAGGAGATATATCTAATGTTAAATGACGAGTTAATGGGTGCAGCACACCAGCATGGCACATGTATACATATGTAACAAACCTGCACGTTGTGCATATGTACCCTAAAACTTTAAGTATAATAATAATAATTTAAAAAAAGGCCTACGTGATAAGATTCTGTGACCATCAATCTGATAACTGAGACAGCTACTGAGTGACTAGTGGTGGGCGGCGCCTACAGCATGGATATGCAGGACAAGGGGATGACATCCATCCTCCGTGGGACAGAGCCGGCGGTGAGAGTTTTCATTGCACTATGCTGAACTCCCAGCAACTTAACACTTAAGGATGGTTTGTTTCGGAAACTTATTTTTTTTTTTTTTTGAGACAGAGTTTTGCTCTTGTTGCCTGCACTCGAGTGCGTGCTATGGCACAATCTCAGCTCACCTCAACCTCTGCCTCCTGGTTTCAAGTGATTCTCCTACCTCAGTCCCCCAAGTAGCTGGGACTACAGGCGCCCGCCACCACGCCTGGCTAATTTTTTTATTTTTTAGTAGAGACGGGCTTTCACCATTTTGGCCAGGCTGGTCTCGAACTCCCGACCTCAGGGGATCCACCTGTCTGGGTCTCCCAAAGTGTGGGATTACAGGCGTGAGCCACCATGCCTGGCCTAAAACTTTCTATTTAGAATTTTTGGACCAAGATTGACCACAGGTAACGGACACCGTGGAGAATGAAACCATGGATGGGGGGGTGCAACTGTGGTGTTTTAAAAATTGAATGAATGCCTGTGTGAGTCCATTTCTTGGTTCCTCCTCTTCTTTTTAAAAAGTATGTCTTCTTTTGTCTTTTCCTTCTCCATTCCCCTGTCCTGTCCTCAAACATGAGATGCCATTTTTAATGTGTTGAAACTATTCATTTCTTTTGTAAATGTTCTTAGAAAAGATGAATTTTTGTTTTGTGTATAAGTGTCTTTATACAAATGATGTTGCACTATACATCTTATGGTGTTAACTGCTGACCTATTAAAATAAGATATATATGATATCTACATGTCTTTATCTATATCTAGCTATCGATTGATTGATCTATTGATCAGTTGATCTATCTGTCTCTTTTAATGAGCCATTGACATTGCCATGAGCTAACACTTTCTTTCTTTTTTGAAACAGGGTCTTGTTCTATCACCCGGACTAGAGTGCAGTGGCATGATCTCAGTTCCTTGCAACCCCTGTCTCCTGGGTTCAAGCTATTCTCCTGTCTCAGCCTCCCAAGTGACTGGGATTACAGGCACACATCATGATGCCCAGCTAATTTTTGTATATTTGGTAGAGATGGGGTTTCACCATGTTGGTCAGGCTGGTCTGGAACTCCTGGCCTCAAGTGATCTGCCTGCCTTGTCCTCCCAAATTTCTGGAATTACAGGTGTGAGCCACTGCACCAACCTGAGCTAATACTCTTGTGTCAGGGTAATGCTGTTTTGTGTATCATGTCTCAACTCTCTAATCTCTCAGTGGTGGACATTTGCTCACCTCCAACTTTCTACTACCAAAATCAGTGCTGCAGTAACATGGCCAGAAATATCCTGTGGACCTGAATGAGAATCCCTTTGAGGTAGAAACCCAGGGGCAGAGATCCTGGTTAGGATGTAGAAGACAGCATTTTCTAAAAATGGTGACCATACCTATCCCATCCTCACACACTTTCTACAATGTGAGTTTGACACTCTTCATTGAGAGGTAAGGCTCCCATTCTCTTTTCTTGATCAGGGGTTGAAGCCAGCTGAAACAGTGCTACATAATGCCAAGGCTAGGTCATTGAAATATCACGCACCTTTTTCTTGATCTGTGGGGCCCCTCACTCTTGGGACCCAGCCACCATGCGGAGTGGCAGCCGAGCAGCCACAAGATTAAGTCACCTGGAAGGATCCTGGCCAACAGCCTCAACTAGGACGCTAGCCTATGGCCAGCAAGCAAGTGCCAGGCATGGGAGTGAGTTTCTGATGGTTCCAGCCCCCAGTTATCAAGTCACCCCCCAGCCTTTGAGCTACCCTGGCCACAAGGAGCAGAGATGAGCTTTCCCTATTAAGCCCTGCCCAATTTGAAGACTAATGAGCAGAATAAGAATTGGTTTTTTAAAGCCACTGAGTATACAGTTGCTTGCTATGCAGCAAGAGAGCTGGAACGTATGAATTCAGGGTATGAATCTCCAAGAAATATTAGAGGTGGCCCCTTTGCAGGGCTTCAAAGTCTATTCTCCCATCATCAGTGCCCCAGGCCCCTCTGCCCTCATGTCTCTGCTGTTTACTTAGCATTGCCTCTTACTAATTTTGCCTAATAGTTGCCAAGTAACAGCTCATCCATTAAAATTGTGTTTTTCTGATTACTAATGATTTTGAACACTTCTTCGCATGCTTCTAAGCTTTTTGGGTTTTCCCTTCTGAGAACTGCCTGTTCATATGTTTCCCCCATATTTATATTAGGCTGCTGTCTTTCTGTTTGTTTTGCAGGAAATCCTTCTCTAGTCTTGATATTAGTCCCTTGTCAGTTTCAGTCATTGTAAATATCTTTTTGCATTCAGTCACCTGCCTTTGACAGTTGTGTCCTAGCCACAGCAGACAAACGACAGAATGAGAGATTCTGTGGAGAAAGAGCCCCATCTGTGCCATCATTGTCCTAAGCTCTTTAAAGCAGTTCCCAATAACATTTTCTCACATTTTTGTACAATGCCCTGCCATCTAAAAATATGTGCATATTTATGAGTTTAATTATTAAAACAACTCTGAAAGATTAAAAAAAAGAAATTCTTTAAAGAATGATTTTATTCAATGTCAATGCAATCACATGGTCAGGATCAATAACCAGTAAAGTTAGAAAAAGCAGGTTGGGGAATAGAAATGAATATGAAGCAAAGAATGAGGCAAAGCCTCTCCCAGAGCCTCTTCCTCTATGTGTTGCCTGTGGACCTGCTGATAAGGTCTACAGAGCAGTGGAGATAAAAAAGTAACAGTTGATTACAGTTGCACGAGACTAAACTATGAAGTTTGATCCAGGTTTGAGGTCACTTTTACTTTGGTTTATTATCAAAGCAGTAGATCAGCAGTACCAAAGATCAAATGAAATAAGGATGCAGGGATGGGCTTAGCTGCCCAGGCTTCCCTTGCATCTTTCAAAGGCATGCCCTGAATTCCGTAGTGTTGGCAGCTCACATGGAGATGTCCACCAGGCCAGAGCTATTGGAAATGGGTTTGCTGTCTTTCATACCCTTTGTGTTATGGACTGAATGTTTGTGTACCCTTCTCCAAAATTTGTATGTGGAAGCACTAATGTGATGGTCTTTGGAGATGGTACATTTAAGAGGTAATTAGGGTTAGATGAGGTCATGAAGGTGGGACCCTCATGATGGGACTTTTCCTTATAATAAGAGACAAGAGAAAGCTTGCATTCATATTCTATCTTTTGCTCTTCCTCCCTGTCATTCAAATACACACAAGAAAATAGCCATCTACAAGCCAGGCAGAGAGGCCTCAATGAAATCAAACCATGTTTGCACACTGATCTTGGACTTCCAGCCTCCAGAACTGTGAGAAATACATTCCTATTGTTTAAGCCACCCAGCCTGTTGTGTTTTGTCATAGCAGTGTGAACTGACTAAGATACTTAGTATTCGGTACCCAGGAACAGCTTACATGAGAGGTAATATAGTATTCAGACAGCCATATCATCTGGGCCCAATGTTTGTGATCTTATTTTTTTTACACTTGAAACTCTTGCTTTTCTGAATTTGATGGGACAGTCTCCATCTTTCTGCATCTGTATTATCTGGACTAAATGTGTTCAGTTTGGTCCACTTTGGGGCTTTCTTCTGTCAGGCCTAGTATGGCCAACCACACCAGTCACAGCTGATACAGCTGATGTATTATATCACCTTGGCAAAAGCAGCAGATGAACGCCAGCATGGATTAAAAATCTCTAAAGGGTAAGCTTAAGAAGCAGGAGCCAAAATTGGTGAAACAAAACATAAAGCTACAAACATGTGGGCTCAAGTGAAAAAAAAATGCCAGGGTTCAAAATACAAAGGTCGAAGAAGGGCTCACCGGGGTTCTTGACAATTGTTTGAAGGGGAAGATGTTAAAATAAATTGGTCCATGGGAATAAAGACACCAATAAAGGAAGGGACCATCTGAAGGATTTGGGAGTTTTTCACTAGGAAATTATATGTTTGATCAAGAACGTTTTGGCACTAGTTTCTTGTTCATTTCATGGCTCCCTTCAAAATGTATAGGGCTGCCAGGAAGTGACTGTTGGCATAGCCCTCTTGATTTATAGTCAGAAGGCAGCTTGTCACCAGAGGAAGGAAGGCTGAACATGATCAATACAGAATTATGTGGTAGTTTCATGTTTTAGCTCTTCAAGTTTATGAAGGCAGAAGAAAATGATTAGAGCCTAGCTCCAACCCACCAGTCCATGTAGCAACATAGGTTCACAGTGTGCCACAAAACAGCTTTTCAGCCAAGATTATGTAAGGAAGACTGAAGAAACAAGTTAATGGCCACAAAGAGAGCTTAAAGAGTCTTATTCAACAGAGTGAAGGGATGAGGATCAAGAACAAAGAATTACAATTTTGAGGATGAAACAAAAAGTGAGCACCTGAATGGGTGATTCACATCTTAGAAAGTGGTAGATGAAGTAGGACAACAATGTGTATGGGAGAATACTGACTTCATGAGGAATTGTTGAATACTGTTTATGGGCTTATTGTGTTTACACATGCACAATAGCATAGATATGTGTAAGATGCAAATACATTTTAAAACAATAAAGGATAATAATAAGGATAAAATAATATGTACAAAACTGAGAATGTTTTCAAATGCAAAGCTGTGTCCCAGTAATATCTCAATTATGCAGCATATTTATTGAATAAATATTTCATTAGATGATTCTATATTAGTGAAGGCTCAAATTAAAGAAAGGAAGCTCTTGAAGTGTCTTAAACTTTGACATGTTAAAACTTTAAAAAAACTTTCCACAAAATATATTCTATTATTTTCTACCCTTTAATAGTACCCTATATTAAAGACCATTTTCTTAATGAGGCAGGCTTGCCCTTACACTGAATGTCTCTATATTACTGAATTATTTTAGTGCATATTTCTTCCTTTAGTAAAAGGACTGGTCATCTAAGAGTAGAAGAAGTTGGATTTCAGATCATTTAACTTCCTAGAACTTTAGGGTACTCATTTTTAAAATGAGGAAAAACAATATCTACCCAATCTATCTTCTAAGATCATATGAGAAGCAAAAAGAAAAATGCAGTGAAAATGCTCTATATTTACAAAACGTGGTTTTTGTTGCTAGTACTAGTCATGTCATCTCTCTTGCGGGGTTTCTCAAACTGTGGGCTGGGAACCATTTGCATCTGGGTGAGACCATGTAAAAATTCAGATTCTAGAGCCTCACCCTGTATCTGCTGGACTCAATTCTAGTGGTGGGACTAGAGTTCTGTGTTTTTAATAAAGACTAAGGTCATGTTGATAAGCACAAAGGTTTGGAAGTGGCGATCCATTGCCTTGTGAGTCTGTGAGCTGCCACTTCTAATCTGCACTTCGGTCGCTCTGCCACCCCTACCACCTTCTCTGTGTTCCTCTTTCTCTTATTCTTTCTTTCATCTTTCCTGACCATTTTGCTCCTGTGGAGTTTCTATAGTCATCACGAGCCAATAAGAAAGCTCTTGTCTACTATAATCATGTTCTAAATGCTGAAGTAACAGGAGGCAGAGAAGCACAAGAACATTAATCAACATCTGAAATGATAAGAATTTGTAGTCGGTAATCGGATAATTCAGCCTTGTCATCTAAATTTCAGGTTGTGAAACATGAAGTGGGGTGGTGAGTCTAACTCATACCAAATTTCCTAATTCTCCCCTTGAGCAAATTGCCATTTTCTGTTGCAAAAATAATCAAAATTAAAGGGCTTTTGACTAGTGTTGTTTTAGTATTTTAAGGTAACTTTCAGAATAGCACAAATGGAGGCTAACATGTAAGAAATTTCCTTTGTAAACTGTATACTGATTCTGTATATCTACCATCTTACCAGCTATGAGGTAGAAAATTACCAAAGTTTAGAAAGCTCTCTGATCAAAGAGTGAATCTTTTATGATCCCAAGCTATTCAAAATTTGTTATGTTCACTGGCTTTATCAACTCCCTTGTGAAATTCCAAAAACTTTACTACATCAGGGTCAGAATGCATATTTAAGCAGAATATATATGACTGCTTAGATATGGAAAAATAAAATTCCATATTCTACATTTGAAGGTAAGAAATCTCACCTGCTTGACCACCTAGAAGCCATAGTGACAATGCTCCAGAAATATAGTAGTCCTCCCTTATCTTTGATAGATATGTTTCTAGACCCCTAATGGATGCCTGAAACCATGGATGGTACCGAAACCTACACATACTATGTTTTTCCCCTCTAAAGTACATACATATCTATTATAAAGTTTAATTTATAAATTAAGCAAAGCCAGTGATTAACAATATGCCAGCATCACTACTCTTGTGCTTTGGGGCTGTTATTAATTAAAATAAGGGTTACTTGAACACAAGCATTACTATACTACAACAGTCAATCTGATCACCGAGATAGCTACTAAGTGGCTAACAGGAGAGTAGCGTCCCTAGCATGGCTATGCTGGACAAAAGGATGATTCATGTCCCAAGAAGGATGGAGCAGGATGGCTCAAGATTTGTTCACACAACTCAGAATGGTGTTTGCAATTTAAAACATAGGAATTGTTTATTTCTAGAATTTTACATTTAATATTGTTGTACCATGGTTGACTGCAGGTAACTGAAACCTTGAAAAGTGACACTGCAGATAAAAGGGGCTATGTTAAATTAGTGCTTAGATATTGACAAAATCTTGGCAAATTAGCAATAATAGACTATTTCTATGTCGAATCAAGTCTTAGTCACATCTATGAAAGTCAAATGACTTGTTTAACTTTTAGTTCCATCTTCTGCCACTGGAAAACTTTCTAATTCTCCTGAACAGGGTTGGTCCCTGCCTTCTCTTACCTACCACTGTAGTCAGACCAGTGGTCCTCAACCTAGGCCCCCAGAGATGCCTCTGAAAACCTCAATGCCCACAGTACATTCCAGACTGATTAAATCAGAATCTTTAGAAGTGAAAGTCAGGCATCAGAATTTAAAAAAAAATTGTCTTGATATGCAATTCACATACCATATAATGCACTCATTTAGTATAAAATCGAATTTTTTAGTATATTTTCAAGGTTATGCAACTATTACCACTATCCAATTCTAGAACATTTTCATCATTCCAAAAAAAAAACCAACCTCATATTCATTAACAGTCACTCCTCATTTCTTCTCTTCCTCCACCCCTCAGCCCTCAGTATCTACTAATCTCCTTTCTCTCTCTATGCATTTGCTTATTTTAAATTTTCACGTAACTGGAATCAAATAATACGTGGCCTTTCGTCTCTGACTTCTTTCAGGCATCAGTATTTTTTAAATATCCCTTTATGACTCCAGTGAAGCCAGGGTGGAGGGGGAAGAGATGATTTATGTAGACTTTGAACGTAGTGTTTTTTTTACCCAATATTTCTATTTTTGTTTACATGTCTGTTTTTTTTTTATTAGACTATACGTTCTTTGAAGGCAGGAGCCATGTCTCATTTTTACTGTACTCTAAACACCTAGCCCAGTGCACAGCCCAAATAGTAATTTGGTAAATATTTGATCAAAAAAGAATGAATAAACACATACTACCTTATTGCAGATACTCCATTTAATGAGTTTATTATTTATCTATTTATTTATTACAAATTATGTTTTTGAGGAAAGGACAAATATGAACTTCTTACAAACTTCTAGAATGGCCTTATCCAAGGGCTTCTATGTGATAATCACTGTTTGGAACTTGGGGTATGGTTCTAGCACCAGAACAAAGAAATTTTATATCTTCAAGGAGCTCAAAGTCCAGTTGGGGAGTTAATTAGATCGTAAAAAATTAAACAGCCTAAAGAGATATTTTCAAATGGTAATAAGTAGTATAAGACTGTAGAACTTAGTGATGAGAGGGATATGAGAAGAGGAGTGGGAGAGGAGGGCTGCGTTAGACATCTGGGCAAGGAGGGCCCACTCTCTCAGATTTACTTCATATGCAGAAACCAGCTCTAAATAAAACTAGTAGACAAAATGTACGAAGTACAGAGAAAAACATTAATCAGCAATTAAAAATAATGAAGATATAATTTTTAAAAACACTACGTTCAACAACAAAAGCATAATGTACAGAAAGAACATTGGCCTGGGAATCCAAGCCAGTTCTATTCCTAAGTGTGTTGCTATGGACGGTTAGAGAACCAATATACGATGCCTTCTCTTAAACCTAAACGGTCATGACAAGATCAACTTAGGGGAAGATATGCATTCCTGCAGAATCCAGGAGGAAGAGACCTTCCAAGTGACAAAGACTTTGTAGGCTTCCTGCACCAGTATTCTAGAACCCTGCTTGCGGCCTAGTAATATTATGGATAGAGTGTCCCTCTTCCTGCTTTATCAGGAATTTTACACTATTGACCATCCCTTCCTTTTAAAATTTTCAACTTGTCCTAACTTGGTGCCTCTTAAGTACCAACATTTAAGTCAACTCCAGTCCCTTCCATTCTACAAACTCTGCCAGGACTCCACCTGCCTCTTTCCAAACCACTGAAATTTTCAGCATGAGAAAAAAAAAAGATACATGTGTAAGATTAATTAAAAATCTGGTAATCATGAATCTGAATGTGAGAATATGAAGTTTCCCATCTCCAAATTCAAGAAACAAAAAAAATTGCCTGTTCCTTCGTTCAAGAAATGAACAATAAATGGTTCTAAACTACTGATCCCAAGGAGAACCATGTCCAAGTTGGGAGGTGAAGCTGTTTAGATTAGCATTGTTCTTGGTTTCCTCTGTACTTCCCATGAGTCAGTGGTGCTGAAAGAGCAGCCTTCCTGTCATCTTCAAGTTCCCCTAATGAAAAGAGATCTTGATATAATGCTGAACTCCCACATAGAACATGAATATAAATAACCAAGTAATTATCACAAAGCTCTTTGTACTCAAAGAGTTTGTGAAAACAAAGTCACATATAAATGTCAAGTGATTTGGGGTATTGGGCAGCATTCCATATTAAAAAGATGACAGGTGTCATAATTCATTTGTATTTTCTATTTTTTTTAATTATACTCAAGTCTAGTCATTGCTTTTCTATTCATTTCTTCTTTGGCCTAGTTCTTCGGATTTGTAATAATAGTTGCTTCATTGGCCCCAATCACATGTCATTTTTCTACCATGGGCACCAGTTTGGGAAGGGTAAAAATGTACTGAAAGAAGGAAACTACATTTCAAATGAGAGAGAGAGAGAGAGAGAGAGAGAGAGAGAGAGAGAGAGGCGGGGGGAGGGGTGCAGGGGATCGGTAACCAGAGGACACAACAGAACCGTGATTCTAGGTAAAAATATAGGGTACTGGAGTTCACAGCAGGAGAAATGTGAAAAAGTTGGAGCTTACTGTGTCTTGGATAAAAGCAGGAGTATTAGAGATGAAGAAACAGCCTGTGCCAAAAGAGTCAATTGTTCATAAATTTCTTTAAGGACATTTTGGAAAAACCTCAAAATATGTGGTATCCAAAATGGTTACAATACTAAACAGGAATAAAAATATTGCAACAGAGTGAGTCTAAATATTAAATTGTGATCATTTTACTCAAATAGAAGGCCTTTTAATAACTATAATTTTCTTGCTAGTCTTTATATTGAACTCAACATTCTCTCTTAAGATTTTAAGTCTCCTTTGTTTTTCTTTCTAAAAAGTAAATAAGTTTGATATTGGCAGGAGTATAACCCTCCTGTATGGAACATAATCTACTGTAATATATATATACGTTTTCCCTCTGTGGGCCCCAAACCTTAATTTATTAATATATCAAGTCGTTAAAAACATGACAGATTGGCTTAAGCAATTAAGAAAATACAGGAGGGGAAAATTTTGCATTGATAGAGAATGGACTAGAAAATTCAATAAGTCATTTTCATTTCCAAGTCAATGATATATTTACAAGTGATACTAGTAACATTTGTAGTAATACATAAACTATGACTAAATTAATTACGAATAGTTAAACTTTTATTTATAGCTGTTGTCAGCTTCACATTTTTTAGGAAGATCCTTAATCACCCAAATTACAAACTGCCAACCCATGTGATTTCTGCACAGAAATCCATTGTTCCCTGGTGAAAAGTGAAAAGGAAAATGTCAAGCAATTGAATCAGCACAACCTAATGAAGCCTTCCTCCTCAAAGCAAACAAAACCTTTACCTTCCAATGCCACAATAAGCTTCCCATTGAATGCTAAAGCTATTAGATACTATTTCAAAGCCAAAGGGAATGCTATAAATTGGGGCAGGACTATGACTTCTTCATCTTTGTGTCCCCAGGGCCTACCTCAGGGCCTGGCACAGAGCATGTACTATGTGAATGGCTATTGAATGGTGCTGAATGATGTCACCGTCCCTCCCCCCAGCATCCCTATGATGACTACTTCTGCATCAGGGACTGCATGTTACAGAAATGCATTCTGCCAAGCTAATGGAATATATTCATAAGTCTAGTGGCTTCTCTTAAACAGCAAGACTATAGCAAGTTTTGGCAACTACTATCCAAGAAGATTATTCAACTCTTGCTGTTTTTGTCTATCAAATTGATGCATAGAACACCCCATGTCAGAATCGACTGATCCAATAACTTAATTATATTGGGACACAGATGGCCACAAAGACAGACTGTATCACAAAACTTAGGTAGCAATCTACTGGACGTATAGTTCACTGTTGTCTTCATATATTTAACAAAAAGTATTAAACTGTCTAAGAATGTACTTATTCCAGTGAGCTACGAAGAAAGATTTATGTAAGACCACAATGTTTTCATTGTACTTTTGTCAATAGAGACGTGCAGCTGAGTATATATTATGTGATCTTATTGACTCAATTTTCACTGAGATTTTAATGTTTTTACTAGCTGAAAGGAACAGTGTAATAGGAATATAGCTTTTAAATCCCATATGTTAAATTATGTAATCTAAAGATAACAATATCAAACTGCTCTAAGTCTCTTCATCATTCTAGTAATAGTGATATGTGCTTAAAAGGCTTTGAATATATATATATGAATATATGTATGAATATATATATTCATATATAGGTCTTTTATATATACATATATATGAATACATATATATTCATCTAGTACATTCACATAGCCATTCACATAGTACATGCTCTGTGCCAGGCCCTGAGGTAGGCCCTGGGGACACAAAGATGAATACATATATATTCATATATATATATACACACACACACATCTTGTTAGCCTATCTCCCCAGGATGCTCAAAGAACAATAATCAAAATGAAAACAACACTAATTTCTGCTTGCTTGGAATAAATATGTACCCATCTTGGCAGAGTTCTTTACTGTAGAACAAGTCCATAGAAATTTATTCTTTGGTTCTCAAAGTAGTTTTCAAGGTCACATAACTTCTATTCTTTTCCTTTGATAGATGGCATTCTAGCCTAGGTCAAAGTCATCCCAATCCATGCCCCAGCCATGATATTTTTAGTAGAGCACATGAGCAAAACCTTTTATTTTTATATTATTTGAACAATATCTTTTCTGGGCTAAAAGCTAGTTTCAAAAATGAAGCATATGAGGTTCCGGTCTTGAGGGGCAACCCCTCACTCATTTGTAATCTTTATCCTAAAGCTGACTCATGTAGGTATGCAAACTCATAAATCACATTGAGCTTTTAAAAAACAAGAATAATAATAATCTGAAATATGACTTGTTAAACATTAGTCAATAAGGTAGTCTAAAAGTTTGGTCTAATAAAGGTTCAAAAACAGTGGAAAATAGTGAATTCTAGTAATGTTATTCTCTCCTTAATCATCTCTCCAGGGCTCAGCATACTAAAATAGACATTTATAATAATCTTAAATTCTAGATTTGGTATAATGTGGGAGGTAAAAACATGGATTTGGGATCAGATTGCCTGGGTTCAAATCCCAGCTTTGAATTTAAGTCGCTGTGTGGTCATGGTCAAGCTATTTAACTTCAAAGTATTTCCATTTCCTCATTGGAAAAATGGGGAAATATATACCTCAGAAGGTTACATGAAAAGTAAGTGAGTTAATATGTATAAAATATTTAGAATAGTGTCAGACATGGAGTAAATGCTACACACTGTTTGCTATTATCATCATTAAGGATGTTTATTCTCTCTCTCACCAGCGTTTTTATCTTTAGTTAATAATTCCCCTTTCTGTTCATGGGATCACCCATCATTTCTTCATGTACTCTATAAACATTTTATTCAGCATTCACTATACCTTAATAGCTGTGCTAGTAGCTAGAGTTTCAAAAATGAAGCATACAGGTCCCTGCCCTTGAAAGGCAACTGTTAATCCTGTCTCTAATCATTACCCTAAGCATGATTTATTCAGGTATGCAAACTATAAATTACAATGCACTGGGGGCAGGGACTAAGGTCTCAGCATGAATTGAATGACTTGGTGTCCTTAGTTCCTCATCTCTGACATTCACTGGCTTTCTATCTCCACCTTTCTATGTTCAATAGATATCCATCCAACAAAATGTCTTAAGCCACTACTTTGTGGGAGTTGTGGGGGGGTAGCCCTGATGATATCTGGGTGAAGAGGGTACATGGTCCAGGCAGAGGAACCAGCTAAGACAAAGGCCTTGAGGTAGGAACAGTCTGGTTTGTTCCTGGAACGGCTAGGTGGGAAGTGAAATTTGAGTGAAGAGAATAGCCAAGTATTGAGCTTCAAGTCAGTGACAGATTTAAAAAAAAAAAAAAAAGAAGAAGAAGAAGAAAAAGAGAGAAGCCAAAGGAAAGTAATAAGAGAGAAGGTCTAAGAAGTTATAGGGTGTCTGGGCCGGGCGCAGCAGCTCACGCCTGTGATCCCAGCACTTTGGGAGGCCGAGGCGGGTGGATCACGAGGTCAGGAGATTGAGACCATCCTGGCTAACACGGTGAAACCCCATCTCTACTAAAAAAAAAATACAAAAAATTAGCCGGGCGTGGTGGCGGGCGCCTGTAGTCCCAGCTACTCGGGAGGCTGAGGCAGGAGAATGGCATGAACCTGGGAGGCGGAGCTTGCAGTGAGCCGAGATCGCGCCACTGCACTCCAGCCTGGGCGACAGAGCGAGACTTCTGTCTCAAAAAAAAAAAAAAAAAAAAAAAAGAAGTTAGAGGGTGTCTGGATCACGCAAGGCCTCAGAAGCCACTGTGGAGACTTTGAGTGAGTTGGGGGGCCATGGGAAGGTTTTGAGAAGAGGAGGGCTATGCTGTGACTCACATGTGATCAGGCTGCCTCTGGGAGGAATAAAGTGTTGAGGGGAAAAGGAAAGAACCAGTAGGAACAGAGAGGTGATTGTAGTGATGCAGGGGAGAGATGAGATCCACTTGGACCCGGCTGGTAGGAGTGGGAGGGGACGAAATGCTTAGATTGGAGAATATATTTTGCTGATAGCTCAGACATGGGGTATAAGAGGAGAGATGTCAAAGGTGACTCCAGGGCTTCTGGCCAGAGCAGCTGGAAGAATGACCTGTCTGGGCAGGGGGTAGGGAAATATCAGGATTTCAGTTTGGAACCTCCTAAGTTCAAAATATCTCCTAGCAATCCCAGAGGAGACTCCAAGTAGTCAGTTGGATAGATGAGGCTAGAGTTCAAAAGAGGCCATGCTGGAGATGCAAATGCATCTGTGCATATTTAAAGCCACAAGATCATCAGGGACTAAGTGTAGACAAAGAGAATTTCAGCTCCATTTCCTCACAGGTGTCATGAAGGGAAAACAGCTGCATCATTATTTCAAATCTAGGGACAGATCTGGCAGTAAGGTGGGGAGATAATGAAAAAGGGCTGAGTTTATGATTAGTAAAGCTCATCTTGTGGATTGGACTCTTGCATGTAAGAGCAAGTCCCTTCAACTCTCTGAGTCTCAGTTTTTTAATCTATAAAAATGGACATAGAGTAACAACTGTCCTGCCCACCTCACACATGAGTGGAAAGCTTGAATGCAATCGTGGATGGTAAAATGTTTTATAAACTGAAAAGCACCATCCGGAAGTACAGAATATCACATTACCCAAGATGCCCAGGCTACAGAGTGAGCACCCACATTTGCCTGTGGGACTCTTTCCTTGGGCCACTTGAGGCAGCACCCTTCTCCTAAAGGCTGGTCCTTCAGTCCCTGCAAGGTCTTAGGTGGCCTGTATTCTGGCCAAAGGACTTGAAATGTGCCTGAGGATTCCCATGGGGTTAATCAGGGAGAATGTGGCCCATCAGCTCTCTGTTCTCACCTGCGGCTTTCTGCTTTCCCATTATCTGGAAACAGCACTTAAGTGCATCTATGATGGAAAAACAACTCACCACCAAACCAGAGGACCTGCATTGGGGAAAATGAGGGCCAATGCAAGTGGAAAAGAAGGAAATGCCATTTACCTCATTTATAAATGAGAACCCTGTGGCTCAGAGAGCTGAAGTTACTTGCTTGTGGTCATGAGGCAGTTAAGTGGCAAAGCCTTAAGATTTGCTTGACAGTTTCTAGATAAAGTTCTTGCAACTTTTGCTCACAGGGGACACTTTATGCCCTTTAATTTGGGCAACAGCTGGCCATGTATCTGTGAGCATTTGCCAGAAAATACATGTGAATCTCCAGGATGCTTATTTGCTAGCAATAAATAGTAGAGATTTACAGTCTTTAAAAAAATATTGTTAAGTCTACACACCAGAGTTTCATCTTCTTTCCTGGATGTTGGGTGTGGAGCAGGTTGGGGTGAGGGTGAGGGGCAGCATGGCTACCCAACCCACAGAATGAAGCTTTGGAGATGGGACGCTGCCTATCTCTCAACCAGAGACCAACAGAAATAACTGCCTTCAGTGCTGAGATGTCATACTGAGATTTCAGATGAAAGACCAGGCCAGGAAGTGGCTTCTGAAGCAATAGAAAGTCTATAAAGACAGCTTGCAGCCTTTCCTGTGTGTGTGTGTGTGTGTGTGTGTGTGTGTGTGTATGAGCATGAGTGTGCACACATGTTTAGGAGAGCATGGAAGGGATGAAAGGGTAGTATCACTGAGTTAAATGGGTCTATTAGATTTGTTTTACCCGGAACTAAAATACACTTTCTCTGTTTAAGTTACTCTAGCATTTCCAAGGTAATATGATCCTAACAATTACAGCAATGACTTTGTCTTTTGTCTACTAAATTGAATTTACCAGATGCAGTGGGTTCACTATAAAGTTCTTAAAAAACTGCAGTTAATTCCATGAGCATATGATCCATAGTAGAAGCTTTTCTAACACCAGGGTTGAAAAGCAATATAAACCTTGTTTTACCTTTAAAACCTTGTTTTGCCTTAAGTGCCACTTCACAGAGGCAAGACGTCCTAAACAACCAAGCACGTAAGATGGCCTCCAGCATAAACTAATCAGCAGTGTCTAGCGGGGAGACTGACCTGTTCCCCTTAATACAAGTAGCTGATGAAATTATCAGAATTAGAGGAAAAGAGGCTCAAAAATGAGTTTGTCTCAAAAAGCTTTGGAAAGGCGATAGGTCAGCTAACAGACTTCTTATCTCCTTTGCCAAGAGAGTCATCTGATAAAATTGGACCCAGTTTCTCAGCCTAGGACCTTATACTCATTATGTTATTTTGCATTGCTCCAAATTAAAGGTTGGTCATAAAGCCATGGAATAGCAGAATTTTGTTAGCATATTGATAGAGATAGAATAAAGATAAATTACAGTTGACAGTAGTTTTGATCTGTCTTTAATTGTGATCCTTATGATTATGGGAGGAAGGATAGTATTGCGAAATTAGAGACTTAAGCTTGAATCCTGATTTTGCCCTTTTTTCGCTATGTGATCGTGAGCAAGTGGCTTAACCTCTCTGCACCTTGGTTTCCTTCTCTGAAAATGGCCATGACCTACTTGATAGGGTTGTGGTGAGGATTCAGTGAGGTCACACCATGTGAAACCATTATCTGAGTGCCTGAAATAGAGTAGATCCTTGGTCAATGGTAGTTTTTGCCATCCTTATTGCTGATTCTTTGGACAGAGTTCAACCCTGTAAACTTGTCAGTGGTTAAATGCTTACTTACATCATAACATACCGTAAAGTAAATATTTCCAACCTCCTAACTGGTGTATGTTCCATTTCTACCTGGCCCTAACCCCTCCCCTCTCATTATTCTTTATGCAGAAGCCAGAGTCATCTTATAAAAACTCCTCTGCTCAAAATTCTGCCATTGATCCCATCTCATGAAAGTAAAAGCCCAAGTTCTTCCACAGCTCTCTAAGGTACTCCCTAGCCAGTGCCACCCCATGACTTCTCCAAACTTAACTCTTGCTACCTCCTACTCTCTGACTTCCACAATCTCCTCCTGGTTTTTCTCCAAATATTTGCTTAGAATATTCTTTCCCCAGATAGACACATAGTGTTCTCTCATTTTCCTGAGGGCTGTGCTTAAAGGACACATTATTTGTGTGGCCTTCCCTAGATACTCTACAGAAAAAAAGCATCTCCTATTCTCACCCCCCACCACCCACAACCTTCTCCCTGCCCGGCTGCCTGGATTTACTTGTCTCTATTGTAATTTATCAATAACTTGCTAGCTGGTATTCTTACTTATTTTTCTCTTTATCCTCCCTCTAACAGGTTTTCAACTCCCTGAGGATAAGCTGCCTGTTTTTGTTCATTTTTCTATGCTGAGTGTCCACAACAGTGCATGGCCAATGGTAGGGAGGTAATACATATTTATTGAATGGATGGTTAGGAAAAGAACCAAAGAAAATACATTACCTTTCATAAAAGTAAAAAGGTAATAATTAACAATATGAAACTGGCATTTCAGAAATTGATTTGATAAGCACTAAAAGCGATTTAACTGGCAAAGCTAGGATAACTTGGTGAGTATTTATGTACTGCTGATTCAAATGACATGTCTGAAAATGATGACAAGTTATAGGATAAACTAAATTGAATTCTGTGAGACTCATATCTAAGGTGGAAAAAAAAAACCACTGAAAGCTAGTGTTCTAAATTCAATGAGGAGAGTGTTGAGAAATTCAGACAGACATTCTTAAGAAGAATCTCCTCAGTGTGAGGACCTAGGTCTCTAATAGAAAGGTAATAGAACCTTCCTCCTGAAAATGTGGTCAAGGACCAGCAACCCAGCATCCCCTGGTGGCTACTTAGAAGTGCAGAATCTCGGGCCCCGTTCCATCTCTGCAGACTTAAAGGTCTGCACTTTAATAGGATGCTCCAGTGATCCATCTGCAAGTGGAAGATGGAGAAGCCCTGGAGTAGAGTGTTTAAGAACTCTCACTTGGGATCCAAAACCTGTTCCTCTAACATACTCTCTGTGACACTTTAGACAAGTCATGCAAACTCCCTATGCCTCTATTTCATCATCTGTAAAATGGCGATCATAATAGCACTCAAGTCATAGGCAAAGAAATTATGATAACAAAGATAATGATGGCTAACATTTATTATGTAAGTGCTGAGCAATGCTCTAAGCACATTATAAGTATTTAATCCTCACCAGAAACCTGTGATGTCTGTGTCATTATTATTCCCAGTGTATAAATGAGGAAAGGGAGACTCAGATAGGTTTAGTGACTTAGCTGAAGCTGCTCAGCTAGGAAGGGGAAGGACCAGTATTGGTTTAACCAAGTAAGCAGGTAAGCATTTAACCTAATGCCCAGCTCATAGGAAGTATTCAACAACTGGTGGCTTTTCTTTTTGCTCTTATTCAGATTAATGACACAATCTTTTCCACGTGCTTGGTCTTCCCATTCCACCTTGCCTGTAGTACTGCCAATGGCTTCTTATCCCCCTTTCTGCCCCAGAACAAACCATTGATTTATGGGATCAGGTCTCTCTACTAGGCTAGCTTTCTCTAGAGAGGCACCAGTCTCCTGTTTCCTCCACATCTGGGCATCCCACTTCCAACTTGGTTTCCTTTCCTGCTGTTCACTCCACCGAATGTTCTTCCTACCTTCAAGCTCATAGACCTGTCAAAGCCACTACATCTCACCTTTTTATTTTTTTGGAGGTATGCTCTCGCTCTGTCCTTTAGGCTGGCATGCAGTGGTATCATCTCAGCTCACTGCGTCCTCAAACTCCTGGGCTCAAGCAATCCTCCTGCCTCAGCCTCCTGAGTAGCCTGGACTACAGGCACATACCACCACAACCAGCTCTTTTTTTCATATTTTTGTTTTTGTAGAAATGAGGTCTCACTATGTTGCCCAGGCTGGTCTCAAACTCCTTGCTCAAGCAATCTTTACACCTCAGCCTCTCAAAGTGAGGGAATTACAGGTAAGATCCACTGTGCCAGGCCACACTTCTTAAACCCTTCTTTCCCTCAGTGGACCTGAGGACTGTGGCACCTCCTAGGATAAGGTGAATGAGAAAGCCAAAATAAGCACAAGCCTGCTAATGCTGATGGCATGATATTACTCATTCCACATTGTATTGTGTGCATGTATGTGTGTGTGTGTGTGTGTGAATGAGTGAATATGAATGTGAATGTACATATGAATGTATTTACGAGTGTGTAAGTATGTGTGCTGGCATATATGGGTTTTAGATGAACAGGGGCACATTACAGCAAGCCAAAATACTGAATAAAACAGTATGGTATTAGGTGTTGCCTTTTCACTTTTTAGAAGAACTCTTCATTAGAACAAATCACTTGGTGTAATAGTTCTTTAATTAGCAAACTGAGGTCATTGAAATTATTATTCAATTGACACGTGATATTTCAGGAATGAGACTACCATATAGGATGAAATTTGTAGGACACATACATACATTCATGAACACACAGAAACATTCACCACCCATCCCCCAACACACACACAATTACCCAAATAAGGCAATCTGTGCCTTACTTAACTTGGGTGGTTGTTATAAGACAGGGTTAGAAAACTTTTTTTCTGTAGAGTCAGGTAGTAGATAGTAAATACGTTCAGTTTTGAAGGCCAGATGGTCTCTGTGGCAACTACTCATCTCTGCAATTGTGACACAAAAATAGCCATAGATAATAATATGTAAGCAAACAAGCATGGTTGTCTTTTAGTAAAACTTTATTTATAAAAATAGGAAGTGGGCTGGATTTGGCTGGTGGGCTATAACTTGCTGATCTCTGTAATAAGGATTAAAGAGTATCTCTTCAATGGAATACAGTTGACACTTGAACAACTTAGGGGTTAGGAGCACCAATTCCTGCACAGTTGAAAATTCATATATAAGTTTGACTCTCAAAACTTAACTACTAATAGTTTACTGTTGACTGGAAGCCTTACCAATAACATAAACAATTGATTACCACTATACTGTATTCTTACAATAAAGTAAGCTAGGAAAAAGAAAATATTATTAAGAAAATCATAAGGAGGAGAAAGTACATTTACTATCCAATAAATGAAAGTAAATCATCATAAAGATTTTCATCCACTTCATCCTCATCATGTTGAGTAGTCAAAGGAGAAGGAGGAAGAGAAAGAGTTGGTCTTGCTGTCCCAGGGCTGGCAGAAGTAGAAGAAACTCCATGTATAAGTGGACCTACACATTTCAAACCCATGTTGTTCTAGGGTCAACTGTACTACATATCCATTAAACAATAAGGTACAGGGGTGGAGCCAAGATGGCCGAACAGGAAGAATTCCAGTCTACAGCTCCCAGCGTGAGTGACGCAGAAGGTAGGTCATTTCTGCATTTCCAACTGAGGTACTGGGTTCATCTCACTGGGGAGTGTCGGACAGTGGGTACAGGACAGTGGGCGCAGCACACTGAGTGTGAGCCAAAGCAGGGTGAGGCATCACCTCACCTGGGAAGTGCAAGGGGTCAGAGAATTCCCTTTCCTAGTCAAAGAAAGGGGTGAAAGACGGCACCTGGAAAATCGGGTCACTCCCACCCTAATACTGCGCTTTTCTGATGGTCTTAGCAAATGGCACACTAGGAGATTATATCCCGTGCATGGCTCAGAGGGTCCTACACCCACAGAGACTTGCTCATTGCTAGCACAGCAGTCTGAGATCAAGCTGCAAGGCGGCAGTGAGGCTGGGGGAGGGGCGCCTGCCATTGCCGGGGCTTGAGTAGGTAAACAAGCGGGCTGCAAAGCTTGAAGTGGGTGGAGCCCACCACAGCCCAAGGAGGCCTGCCTGCCTCTGTAGACTCCACCTCTGGGGGCAGGGCATAGCCGAAAAAAAGGCAGCAGAAACCTCTGCAGACTTAAATGTCCCCATCTGACAGCTAGGAAGAGAGTAGTGGTTCTCCCAGCACGCAGCTTGAGATCTGAGAACAGACAGACTGCCTCCTCAAGTGGGTCCCTGACCCGCGAGTAGCCTAACTGGGAGGCACCCCCCGGTAGGGGCAGACTGATACCTCACATGGCTGGGTACCCCTCTGAGATGAAACTTCCAGAGGAACGATCAGGCAGCAACATTTGCTGTTCACCAATATTTGCTGTTCTGCAGCCTCCACTGCTGATACCCAGGCAAACAGGGTCTGGAGTGGACCTCCAGCAAACTCCAACAGACCTGCAGCTGAGGGTCCTGACTGTTAGAAGGAAAACTAACAAACAGAAAGGACATCCACACCAAAACCCCATCTGTATGTCACCATCATCAAAGACCAAAGGTAGATAAAACCACAAAGATGGGGAAAAAACAGAGCAGAAAAACTGAAAATTCTAAAAATCAGAGCGCCTCTCCTCCTCCAAAGGAATGCAGCTCTTCACCAGCAATGGAACAAAGCTGGACGGAGAATGACTTTGATGAGAAGAAGGCTTCAGATGATCAAACTTCTCTGAGCTAAAGGAGGAAATTCGAACCCATTGCAAAGAGGTTAAAAACCTAGAAAAAGATTAGACGAATGGCTAACTAGAATAACCAACGCAGAGAAGTCCTTAAAGGACCTGTTGGAGCTGAAAACCATGGCACGAGAACTACGTGATGAATGCACAAGCTTCAGTAGCCGATTCAATCAACTGGAAGAAAGGGTATCAGTAATGGAAGATCAAATGAATGAAATGAAGCGAGAAGAGAAGTTAAGAGAAAAAAGAATAAAAAGAAACGAACAAAGCCTCCAAGAAATATGGGACTATGTGAAAAGACCAAATCTATGTCTGATTGGTCTACCTGAAAGTGACGGGGAGAATGGAACCAAGTTGGAAAACACTCTGCAGGATATTATCCAGGAGAACTTCCCCAATCTAGCAAGGCAGGCCAACATTCAAATTCAGGAAATACAGAGAATGCCACAAAGATACTCCTCGAGAAGAGCAACTCCAAGACACATAATTGTCAGATTCATGGAAGTTGAAATGAAGGAAAAAATGTTAAGGGTGGCCAGAGAGAAAGGTTGGGTTACCCACAAAGGCAAGCCCATCAGACTAACAGCTGATCTCTCAGCAGAAACTCTACAAGCCAGAAGAGAGTGGGGGACCATATTCAACATTCTTAAAGAAAAGAATTTTCAACCCAGAATTTCATATCCAGCCAAACTAAGCTTCATAAGTGAAGGAGAAATAAAATCCTTTACAGACAAGCAAATGCGGAGAGATTTTGTCACCACCAGGCCTGCCCTACAAGAGCTCCTGAAGGAAGCACTAAACATGGAAAGGAACAACCAGTACTAGCCACTGCAAAAACATGTCAAATTATAAAGACCCTCGAGGCTAGGAAGAAACTGCATCAACTAATGAGCAAAATAACCAGCTGACATCATAATGACAGGATCACATTCACACATAACAATATTAACCTTAAATGTAAATGGGATAAATGCTCCAATTAAAAGACACAGACTGGCAAATTGGATAAAGAGTCAAGAACCATCAGTGTGCTGTATCCAGGAAACCCATCTCACGTGCAGAGACACACATAGGCTCAAAATAAAGGGATGGAGGAAGATCTACCAAAGAAATGGGCAGGGATTGCAATCCTAATCTCTGATAAAACAGACTTTAAACCAACAAAGATCAAAAGAGACAAAGAAGGCCATTACATAATGGTAAAGAGATCAATTCAACAAGAAGAGCTAACTATCCTAAATATATATGCACCCAATACAGGAACACCCAGATTCATAAAGCAAGTCCTTAGAGACCTACAAAGAGACTTAGACTCCCACAGAATAATAATGGGAGACTTTAACGCCCCACTGTCAACATTAGACAGATCAACGAGACAGAAAGTTAACAAGGATATCCAGGAATTGAACTCAGCTCTGCACCAAGCAGACCTAATAGACATCTACAGAGCTCTCCACCCCAAATGAACAGAATATACATTCTTCTCAGCACCACACCGCACCTATTCTAAAATTGACCACATAGTTGGAAGTAAAGCACTCCTCAGCAAATGTAAAAGAACAGGAATTATAACAAACTGTCTCTCAGACCACAGTGCAATCAAACTAGAACTCAGGATTAAGAAACTCACTCAAAACCACTCAACTACATGGAAACTGAACAACCTGCTCCTGAATGACTACTGGGCACATAACAAAATGAAGGCAGAAATGAAGATGTTCTTTGAAACCAACGAGAAAAAAGACACAACATACCAGAATCTCTGGGACACATTCAAAGCAGTGTGTAGAAGGAAATTTATAGCACTAAATGCCCACAAGAGAAAGCAGGAAAGATCTAAAATTGACACCCTAACATCACAATTAAAACAACTAGACAAGCAAGAGCAAACACATTCAAAAGCTAGGAGAAGGCAAGAAATAACTAAGATCAGAGCAGAACTGAAGGAGATAGAGAAACAAAAAACCCTTAAAAAAAATCAATGAATCCAGGAGCTTGTTTTTTGAAAAGATCAACAAAATTGATAGACTGCTAGCAAGACTAACAAACAAGAAAAGAGAGAAGAATCAAATAGATTCAATAAAAAATGATAAAGGGGATATCACCACAGATCCCACAGAAATACAAACTACCATCAGAGAATACTATAAACACCTCTACACAAATAAACTAGAAAATCTAGAAGAAATGGACATACACCCTCCCAAGACTAAACCAGGAAGAAATTGAATCTCTGAATAGACCAATAACAGGCTCTGAAATTGAGGCAATAATTAATAGCTTACCAATGAAAAAAAGCCCAGGACCAGACGGATTCACAACCGAATTCCCCCAGAGGTACAAGGAGGAGTTGGTACCATTCCTTCTGAAACTATTCCAATCAATAGAAAAACAGGGAATCCTCCCTAACTCATTTTATGAGGCCAGCATCATCCTGATACCAAAGCCTGGCAGAGACACAACCAAAAAAAGAGAATTTTAGACCAATATCCCTGATGAACATCGATGCAAAAATCTTCAATAAAATACTGGCAAACCATATCCAGCAGCACATCAAAAAGTTTATCCACCATGATCAAGTGGGCTTCATCCCTGGGATGCAAGGCTGGTTCAACGTATGCAAATCAATAAACGTAATCCAGCATATAAACAGAACCAATGACAAAAACCACATGATTATCTCAATAGATGCAGAAAAGTCCTTTGACAAAATTCAACAACCCTTCAATGCTAAAAACACTCAACAAATTAGATATTGATGCGATGTATCTCAAAATAATAAGAGCTATTTATGACAAACCCACAGCCAATATCATACTGAATGGGCAAAAACTGGAAGCATTCCCTTTGAAAACTGGCACAAGACAGAGATGCCCTGTCTCACCACTCTTATTCAACATGGTGTTGGAAGTTCTGGCCAGGGCAATCAGGCAGGAGAAAGAAGTAAGGGTATTCAATTAGGAAAAGAGGAAGTCAAATTGTCCCTGTTTGCAGATGACATGATTGTATATCTAGAAAACCCCATTGTCTCAGCCCAAAATCTCCTTAAGCTGATAAGCAACTTCAGCAAAATCTCAGGATACAAAATCAATGTGCAAAAATCACAAGCATCCTTACACACCAATAACAGACAGAGAGCCAAATCATGAGTGAACTCCCATTCACAATTGCTTCAAAGAGAATAAAATACCTAGGAATCCAACTTACAAGGGATGTGAAGGACCTCTTCAAGGAGAACCACAAACCACTGCTCAATGAAATAAAAGAGGATACAAACAAATGGAAGAACATTCCATGCTCATGGGTAGGAAGAATCAATACCATGAAAATGGCCATACTGCCCAAGGTAATTTATAGATTCAATGCTATTCCCATCAAGCTACCAATGACTTTCCTCACAGAATAGGAAAAAACTACTTTAAAGTTCATATGGAACCAAAAAAGAGCCCGCATTGCCAAGTCAATCCTAAGCCAAAAGAACAAAGCTGGAGGCATCACGCTACCTGACTTCAAACTATACTACAAGGCTACAGTAACCAAAACAGCATGGTACTGGTACCAAAACAGAGATATAGACCACTGGAACAGAACAGAGCCCTCAGAAATACGCCACATATCTACAACTATCTGATCTTTGACAAACCTGACAAAAACAAGCAATGGGGAAAGGATTCCCTATTTAATAAATGGTGCTGGGAAAACTGGCTAGTCATATGTAGAAAGCTGAAACTGGATCCCATCCTTACACCTTACACAAAAATTAATTCAAGGTGGATTGAAGACTTAAATGTTAGACCTAAAACCATAAAAACCCTAGAAGAAAACCTAGGCAATACCATTCAGGACATAGGCATGGGCAAGGACTTCATGTCTATAACACCAAAAGCAATGGCAACAAAAGCCAAAATTGACAAGTGGGATCTAATTAAACTAAAGAGCTTCTGCACAGCAAAAGAAACTACCATCAAAGTGAACAGGCAACCTACAGAATGGGAGAAAATTTTTGCAATCTACTCATCTGAGAAAGGGCTAATATCCAGAATCTACAATGAAGTCAAACAAATTTACAAGAAAAAAACAAACAACCCCATCAACAAGTGGGCAAAGGATATGAACAGACACTTCTCAAAAGAAGACATTTAGGCAGCCAACAGACACATGAAAAAATGCTCATCATCACTGGCCATCAGAGAAATGCAGATCAAAACCACATTGAGATACCATCTCACACCAGTTAGAATGGCGATCATTAAAAAGTCAGGAAACAACAGGTGCTGGAGAGGATGTGGAGAAATAGGAACACTTTTACACTATTGGTGGGACTGTAAACTAGTTCAACCATTGTGGAAGTCAGTGTGGCGATTCCTCAGGGATCTAGAACTAGAAATACCATTTGACCCAGCCATCCCATTACTGGGTATATACCCAAAGGATTATAAATCATGCTGCTATAAAGACACATGCACACGTATGTTTATTGCGGCACTATTCACAATAGCAAAGACTTGGAACCAAGCCAAATGTCCAACAGTGATAGACTGGATTAAGAAAATGTGGCACATATACACCATGGAATACTATGCAGCCATAAAAAATGATGACTTCATGTCCTCTGTAGGGACATGGATAAGCTGGAAACCATCATTCTCAGCAAACTATCACAAGGACAAAAAACCGAACACCACATGTTCTCACTCATAGTTGGGAATTAAACAATGAGAACATGTGGACACAGGAAGGGGAACATCACACACTGGGGCCTGTTGTGGGGTGAGGGGAGGGGTAGCATTAGGAGATATACCTAATGCTAAATGATGAGTTAATGGGTGCAGCACACCAACATGGCACGTGTATACATATGTAACAATCCTGCATTTTGTGCACATGTACCGTAAAACTTAAAGTATAATAAAAAAAAAATAAGACACAGAGATCAGGATGGAAAGCTATCCAGGACACATTGAGAGTTGAAAAAAAATCAAGTGCAAAATTCTTTATATTGGGGGCTCCCTTTTGTAATAGCAAGAAACTATACATCTACACATGTAAAGAACATGGTCTACAGGAAACAGAGGCTAAATGGTTAACAGCTATAACTATCTCTAGTGGTGTAAGATTATGGAACATACTGTCTATATTGTATGTTTCTATAGTTTTGATTTTTTTAAAGAGCAAGAACATGTGTATAATCAGAAACATAATATAGCTTTTTAAAATAGTATGTATGCATTTTGAAAGCTGTAAAGGGTTGTATAAGTGTTATTATCATTGTTATTACATACTTTGAAGAAAACTAGTGTTCTATAGATGTAAGCCATTTTCCCATGGGATGCCTAGAAGGGAAGCAGAATTGGCACAGCCTATCTCGAACACCTTGCCCAGATAGGCCAGCCTTTGAGGCTGTGAAGTGATAGTGTTTAAATTTTTAAAAATCTTTTCAGAAATACCTCTAGAGGGAAAAAGATACAAATACAATTTAACTTCTGGAAAATATTCTTTCCTTCTCCATATGTGGTCTGTATTATGTTCCCATCACCCTAGTCCCCCACAGAAAGAAAATCACATTGGTAAGTTTTTATAAAACATATCCTACATGCACTAGAAGGTCCCAGAGCAAAGGATGAGTATATGCCAAGAGACAGATATCCTAGGGGGTTTCCAAAAATAGGCAGAATCTGTGTTATGGTGAAAAGAAAGGCACTGTGAATCAGGAGATCTCAGTGTCAGTTGTAGCTCTGCCAACCAGCTCACCACACAACTGTACATGAGTCATTTCCCTCCTATGGGCCTTAGTGATGCTATCTGCCAAATGAAGCCCTTCGATTAGTTGGTCTTGAAGGGCTTTTACGGCACTAATGTTAGAGTATGCCATAATACTCCAGAATATCTAGAATATCTTATATTTAATAATGGACCTTGTAAATAAAAATATCTGTATTAGTCTGTTTTCACATTGCTGATAAAGACATACCTGAGACTGGGTAATTTATAAAGAAAAAGAGGTTTAATGGACTCACAGTTCCACATGGCTGGGGAGGCCTCATAATTATGGCAGAAGATGAAAGGCACATCTTACCTGGCACCAGACAAGAGAGAATGAGAGCCAAGCAAAAGGGGTTTCCCCTTATAAAACCATCAGATCTCATGAGACTTATTCACTACCACGAGAATAGTATGGGGGAACTGCCCCCGTGATTCAATTATTTCCTACTGGGTTCCTCCCACAACACATGGAAATCGTGAGAGCTACAATTCAAGATGAGATTTGGGTAGGGACACAGCCAAGCCATATCATTCTGTCCCTGGACCCTCCCAAATCTCATGTCCTCACATTTCAAAACCAATCATGCCTTCTCAACAGTCCCCCAAGGTCTTTACTCATTTCAGCATTAACTCAAAAGTCCACAGCCCAAAGTCTCATCTGAGACAAGGCAAGTCCCTTCTGCCTATGAGCCTGTACAGGCATTGGCTAAATACACCCATTCCAAAAGGGAGAAATTGGCCAAAATGAAGGGGATATAGGCCCCATGCAAGTCCAAAATCCAGCAGGGCAATCAAATCTTAAAGCTCTAAAATGATCTCCTTTGACTCCATGTCTTACATTCAGCTCACACTGACGCAAGAGGTGGGTTCTCATGGTCTTGGGCAGCTCTGCCCCTGTGGCTTTTCAGGTTATAGCCCGCCTCTTGGTTGCTTTCATGGGCTGGCATTGAGTGTTTGCAGCTTTTCCAGGCACACAGTGCCAGCTGTTGGTGAATCTACTATTCTGGAGTCTGGAGGATGGTGGCCCTCTTCTCATAACTCAACTAGGCAGTGCCTCAGTAGGGACTCTGTGTGGGGGCTTCAACCCCACAATTCCCTTCTGCACTACCCTAGCAGAGGTTCTGCATGAGGGCCCTCACCCTGCAGCAAACTTTTGCCTGGACATCTATGCATTTCCATACATCCTCTGAAATCTAGATAGAGATTTATAAGCCTCAATTCTTGACTTCTGCACACCTGCAGGCTCAACAGTGGAAACTGCCAAGTCTTGGGGTTTGCACCCTCTGAAGCAAGATCTCAAGCCGTACCTTGGCCCCTTTTAGCCATGGCTAGAGTAGCTGGGAAGCAGGGTACCAAGTCTTTAGGCTGCATGCAGCAGTGGGGCCCTGGGCCTGGTCCATGAATCCATTTTTTCCTCCTAAGCCTCTGGGGAGCAGCCTGTGATGGGAGGGGCTGCCACAAAGGTCTCTGGCATGCCCTGGAGACATTTTTCCCATTGTCTTGGGGATTAACATTTGACTCCTCATTACTTATGCAAATGTATGCAGCTGACTTGAATTTCTCCTCAGAAAATGGGTTTTTCTTTTCTGTCGCATCAACAGGCTGCAAATTTTCTGAACTTTAATGCTGTTTCCCTTTTAAAACTGAATGCTTTTAACAGCACCCGAGTCACATCTTGAATGTTCAGCTGCTTAGAAATTTCTTCCACCAGAAACTGTAAGTCATCTCCCTCAAGTGAAAAGTTCCACAAATCTTTAGGGTGGGGCAAAATGCTGCCAGTCTGTTTGCTAAAACATAGCAAGAGTCACTTTTACTATGTTTGCAACTAACTCCAATTCCCAAGAAGTTCCTCGTCTCCACCTGAGACTACCTCAACCCGGATTTCATTGTCCATATCATTATCAGCATTTTGGTAAAAGTCATTCAACAAGTCTCTAGGAAGTTCCAAACTTTCCTGTATTTTCCTGTCTTCTTCTGAGCCCTCCAAACTGTTCCAAGTTCTGCCTGTTACCCAGTTCCAAAGTCGCTTTCACATTTTTGGGTATCTTTACAGAATCGTCCCACTTTACTGGTACCGATTTACTGTATTAGTCTGTTTTCATGCTGCTGATAAAGATATACCCAAGACTGGGTAATTTATAAAGAAAAAGGGGTTTAATGAACTCACAGTTCTATGTGGCTGGGGAGGCCTGGCAACCCTGGTGGAAGGTGAAAAACATGTCTTACATGGTGACAAACCAGACAGAATGAGAGCCAAGTGAAAGCAGTTTCCCCTTATGAAACAATCAGATCTTGTGAGACTTATTCATTACCATGAGAACAGTATGGGGGAAACCACCCCCATGATTCAATTATTTCCCACCAGGTCCCTCCTACAACATGTGGGAATATGGGAGCTACAATTCAAGATGAGATTTGGGTGGGGACACAGTCAAACCATATCAATATCATTACTGAGTGGCATCTTGGGGATATTAATGGGAATAGAAAGGAGTTGGAACAGGAACCATTAGGCAACATGACACTTTCCCATATTCTCTTTACAGGGCTCCTCAGCCTTCAGCTTCCTGTTTGTACTTCAGATTAAATTAAGGATGCTAATTTGATTTTTCCCCAAACAAGGTTACACACAATAAATCAAGTTTCCTCCTTGCAGTTGACCATGCCAAAACACCTCTAGATTAAAATTCAAACTCTGCTGTTCATATGGCATAATTAAGTATACATTTGTGTAAGCATTCACATATAAGAACCAACCTCTCTTCTATTTCCCTGCCTCCTTCCCTTCCATTCTCCCCATTCTCTACTCCATGCTTGTACACATTTAAAAAGTGATCTGTCCTTCTAGTTGAATGCTACTGACATTCTCAAACAAAATATGCTGTGATTAATAAAATGATGAATCAAATCTATGGCATGTCATTGCTTCCCCTTCCCTCTCCTTGGCTTCTGGTAGTTTCCCTAGCGTAGTTCTTATTGCTACTTCCTATAATGATACAGCCTTTTTCCATATTCTTCAAACCAGAAAAGAGAGTCTTATAACTCCCTAACACAAGCACCTATTCTTTTCTAACTTTCCTCTCCCTGTTTATCTTCACTTTCCTTTGGGTATTTTTCCTTTTCATTTTCCTGTGATTTTTGGCTATCAGAATTTTCAAGATAGTTCTATTTCCAATTCTTCTCTGTTGTCACCATTAATCAGCACTGCCATCTTAGCTCACATTTATTGAGCACTTATTATGTCTGAAGCACTATGCTAAGCTTTCACTTTCATTATCCTGCAAGTTCCTTACCAAACCCCTATGAGGAGAGGTACTGTTAGTATCCCTGTTCTCTAGAGGAAGCAGCTGAAACAGAGTTTACATAATTTGCCCAAGGTCACATAGTTAATAAGTGACAACCAGGATTCAGAATCACATCTATCTAGACACCAAAGCCTATGAACATAACCACTACACTATATGGCCTCAATTGCCATCAGACCACGTGGCCTAAAAAATATCAGCCCCAATATTCTGGTTTAGATTTATCAGTGGGTTGCATGGTCATTTTCGGTCATACCAGAGAAGTTTTCTGAATGCAATTCAAAATGCCTAGGAGTAATCTTAATTGGAACCATATGAGACCTACAACAGAGAACTCTAAAACTTTACTGAGAAATATATTTAAAAAAGACTTGAATAAGTAGGGGATAACACCATGTTTCTGAGTTGGAAGACTAAATGTGGCAAAGGAAGATTAATTCTCTTTTAAATTACTTATAATTTCAGCTGAATTCCAAACAAAATAATAGCAGTACTCCTTTGGGAACTCAATAAAGTAATCCTAAGATTTAATTGAGAAAAAAATGGAAAAACATTGCATCGAAAACTTTGAAAAACAAGAGTAATGAATGGAAATTCATCATATCAGATATTAACAATTTCATTTATACCTTACTGCATTTGATATACAGGTTATAGATCTATAATTATTAAAGCATTAGGGTACTGGAACAAATGTAGACATACAAATGAATGAAGTCATGTATATTGCCCATGCTGATCTTACTATGGATATGAAACAAATATATGATAAAGAAGGTATCTCAAATCAAGGGGGAAAAAGGTTTATTAATAAATGATATTGGGACAAGTAGTTAATTAACTAGGGAAAAATAAATGAAATACTTATTATACATCATTAAGTAAATTCTAGATGGATTATTGAGTTAAATGTTTGTTTTTGTTTTTTTTTTTTTTGGGAAGGAGACTCACTCTGTCACCCAGGCTGGAGTGCAGCGGTGCAGTCTCGGCTCATGGCAAGCTCTGCCTCCTGGGTTCACGGCATTCTCCTGCCTCAGCCTCCCGAGTAGCTGGGACTACAGGTGCCCACCACCATGCCTGGCTAATTTTTTTTTGTATTTTTTTTAGTAGATACAGGGTTTCACTGTGTTAGCCAGGATGGTCTCGATCTCCTGACCTCATGATCTGCCCGCCTCGGCCTCCCAAAGAGCTGGGATTACAGGCATGAGCCACTGCACCCAGCCGAGTTAAATGTTTAAAAAATGCAAACAATAAAACTAGAAGAAAACAGAGATAAATATTTATCAAATCTCTAATGGGAATAGGAATTTCTAAACTTAGAAATAATGAAAAATAATTTAGAACATTAATAAATTTGACTTTATACAGATTTAACACTCCTATAAAGCAACCAACTTATTCAAGCATATTATAATCAAACTTAAACAATTTGTAAGCTGATGAAAATATTCATAAGTAAACCAGAGAATTATTATGTTTAACATATAAATAACTCATATAAATCTATAAGGAAATACTAATACTCAAATAATGGCAAATACCTTCAACACATATTCACTGGCTATAGACTATATATTTCAAGAAATGTGCTAGGCACTAGGGAAGGTAAAGTTTATAAGAAATGGTCTCTTAAAGTAGTTAAAATCTATTAGGAATTGAACATGAAAAAAGGAGCACAACCAAGTATTACAGTTGCTATGATAAAAATCTGAAGTATAAGAGTAACATGAGGAAGATAGTGGTCAGTTTTACCAAGACTGGGAGACTCAGTCTTCATAGAAGAACTGACCCTTGATCTAATCTTGAAAGATGAGCAGATGTTTCCCAGCTGGATGAAAGATGGGATATAAGGGTATTCCAGAGAGAGTAATTAACTAGACATGAACATGATGTGTGTGTGTGGCAGGGGGTTGAGTATGAGTATGTGATGTTGGATGGGGGTAAGACTTTTAGCTGGATCCGTTGAAGCTATAATTGTGGGGTATAACATGACAGATCTTAGTCTTTATCTTCTAGGCAATGGGATCAAGAGTTCTAAGCAATACTGTAAATACTATAAACAAATATTCATTTTAGAAAAAAAAAAGACACTCTGGCTTTAGGAGAAAGGATACATTCTCCTGAAAGGAAGGCAGTGAGGCTAGAGATCACAAGACTAGTAGGAAAGCTGTTAAACAATCTAGGCCAGAAATGACAAGACCTGGATTTAAGACATTAGCATTGGAGTAAGAGAAGGATATAATTCAAAAGATGTTTAGGACAATCCATAAAAAAGAAATCCAAGTGGTTCATATGGAAAGCATGTAATACTGTATCAGTAATCAAAGAAAGAAAAATTAAAATTTTTAAAGGTATCACTTTTCAAACTATCACATAAATAAAAAATTAAACATGACTATATGCAATATTGACAATGTTGAGGTTAAGCATATTTTCATACATTTTTGATAACCACCTAAATGTCGACATGAAAATGGCTGCATTAACTCTTGTGTAGCCACTGGATGGAATATTACACAATTATTACAAAGATATTCTAAAAAAATTACAGTGATGTGGCTTAAATGCTTATGACATGCATCTGCATTTACACATGTAGTTAACATTTACTGATTACCTACTATGTATCAGGCAGAGAAGGCAGAAGCTGGTTATACAATAGTGAAAAAGATATATGTGGTTCCCATCCTCATGAAGTTTGGTGTCTAGTGAAAGATATAGATGATGAGCAACCAAATAAATTATTTATTTAAACAAAATAATGAAAAATGGTGGCACGTGCTAGGAAGGAAGAGACCAAGGTACCGTGATTGAGATGAATAAAAGGTAGGATGCAGCAAACCTACCAAGTCACCTCAGGGACAAGATCTCTGATGTGACCTTTTTTTTTTCTTGGTCGGGAGGATAGAGTCTAACTCTGTCACACAGGCTGGAGTGCAGTGGTGCGATTATGGTTCACTGAAGCCTCAAACTCCTGGGATCAAGAGATCCTCCTGCCTCAGCTTCCCCAACAGCTAGGACTACAGGCACATATCACCACACCTGACCAATTTTTTATTGTTTAGAGATGGGGTCTCACTATATTTACCAGCCTGGTTTTAAAGTCCTAGGTTCTAGTGATCCTCCTGCCTCGGCCTCCCAAAGTGCTTAGATTATAGGCATGAACTACTGTGCCTGGCCTGAAGTCATGTTTTAACAGAGATTTCATGGAGTTAGCCATGTGAAGACCAGGAGAAATGGCAGTCAAGGCAAAGAAAAAAGGAAGCACAAAGGCACTGAGATGGAAAAATGCATGGTGTATAGGATTAACTAAGGAGGATCATTTGAACTGAGAAGCACTGAGAGAGTGAAAGGAATGGTAGGGAAGTGGGGGTGGGTGGGCAGAGGCCTTGTAGACCATGGCAGGGAAAATTAGTTTTATTCTATGTGCAATGGGAAGCTATTTCTAGTTTTATTTTTTGAATAGGAAATACATCCACATGGTTCAAAAATCCAAACAATATAAAAAAGGTTTACTGTGACATGTCTTGCCCCCACCCCTTTACCTGTCTACCACATATTTCCCTTACCCATCCACAAATAACCATTTTATTAGTTTATTATGAAGGCTTTTAGAGTTATGATGGAGATACAAATAGATATTTTTTATCTATATTTCTTATGCCAAAAGTTACTACTTTTGCTATTATATGCTACTTTCTATATTGACTTTTTTTCATCTAATAATATATCTTGGAGATCTTTCAATTTCAGTGCATGGCGGCCTGCTTCATTTGTTTTTATAAGAGTATAGTATTCCATCATATGTTTATACCATAATTCATTTATCAGGTCAATAGCTAGATATTTAAGAATTTTTATCACATAATATAATTTATTTTATAAAAGATGATTATCGATTTATATAAAGAATTGATTAGAAGAGACAAGAGTTAGAGACTGTTGTCATAGTCAGGTAGCCCAAGGGATAGCAATGGAGATACAAAGAAATGGGTCAATTCAAAGCCTAATATGGGATAGGCTAAGCAGGACTTGGTGATGGATTGGATGTGAGAGGCAGGGGAAATGGAGGTGACTCCTCCATTTGGGATTGAGCCACACGTGGAACATGGTAACATTTGCCGAAACAGGCAAGATTGGAGAGGCAGGTGTAGGAAGGGGAAGTCAAGAGCTCTGTGTAGACCTGTTGAGTGTGAGATGCCTGTGAAACATTCTAGTAGAGATGTCAAGTAAGGCAGCTGGGTGTGTAAACCTGGATTTTAAAGAAGAGGTTCGTACTAGAGATCAAAATGTGAGAGGCATCTGCATCCAAATAGTATTTAAAATCATGACAATGGGAGAAACCACCTGGAGCAGAAATACAAAGCCAGAAGAGAAGAGGAGCAGGTCTTAGCTCTGAAGAATTCCAACATTCAGTAGTCAAAGGAAGTCATGATGACAAAGGACTCTCAGAACAAATGGGAAGTGAATCAGAGGAAAATTAGGAGTTCGGTGATAGAAAAGCCCAGGGAAGTAAGTGTTTTGAGAAGGAAGTGGTTGACTGTGTGGGCTGATGCTGATCATCAGGTCAAAATAGATGAGAACAAAGAATGGTAAGAAATAATCAGAGTAAAAAGTTGTAAAAACTCTTAATCATATATGTATACATATGTGTTTGTGTATATATGTGTATATTATGTGTGTATCCTGTATAGACAGACACACATATATATACATATATACTATTTCTACATCTATACACACACATATATATATATACCCACATGCATGTATATAACTAAGCATAGAAAAGTCACTATGCATTGAAAACAACTGAAAGAAAATATACTTCAATAATCAGTTTTTCAGGGGTTTGATTATATGATTTCTCCCCTTATCTCATTTTTCTATACTTTCCCAGTTTCTTTAGAATGAATATTTATTACACTTATAATAAAAAAAAATTAAAAACAAGATATATTTCTTAGCTGACCATGATGTAACCCTGACTTGGAAATAGAAATATGACTAAAGATCTACTAGAAGACTATGAAAATTGCTTCTGTTTGAAAAATGAAACATGTACCTTCTGGGAGGATTCTGTAATAGGTAGATGCTATGTGGATGAAACGTGGGGGCAGGAGAGGAGAGGTATAATGTGGGCTAGTAAACCTGGCCCTTCTTGTACTTTCTGTTCCTAAGTATTCTATTTCTTTTTCTGCATTAACCTAATCAAGATTCACACTGCCCTGGCTCTTATCTTGAAATTGAAGCAGGCTAGGACAAATTCTTTCCAATGCAAGCAAGATATGCTTAGAGATTTCAACTTGATCTGCTGCCTATTAGGAGCTGCCTCTAACATTTGCATCACACTAACTCTTTTGTCCATTGTGACCCTCAGTAAGTTGGTGGAACATTCCAAGAATGTCATCCTGAAGGCATCAGCTCTTATCGACTCACACATTTCAAGCTTGCTAGCTTTAGACACCACAGCGGTCAATGCATTGACCAATCCAAAAAAATATTCCCTCCAGCACATATGGAACCTACATCACTAGTCATCTCTCCAGATGGCCATAATGCCAAGTTTGGCTAGCACCCTGTCAAGGTGGAACATGTCTATTCAAACTCCTGCTTTGACTTCCCAGAGCAGTGATTGCCAAAGTTGATCAGGCCTAGTCTATTTTGGCAAGAGAAAAGATCCTACAGACTTCCAACCAAAGCTCAGCAACTGCCAGCACCCCCCAAACACTTACAAGAATCAATGTGAAGACAGGTAACTATCTGTAAGTGTGGGTGGTGGACTCACTTCTGCCACTCCCTTCCCAGCTTCCCCTTTTACAGGCACTGCCCCACAAAGTATTATGCTCATTCACATGTTAGTACCTGTGGTAGGATGAATAATGCCCCTTCCCCAAAGATATTCATGACTCAATTCTTGAAACCTGTCAATATGTTACCTTACATGGCAAAAGAAGGCACTTTTGTTCATCATGGATTTTTTTCCCATTAATTTTTTTCAAAGTATTGCCGTAAAATATTAATTACCTTGAATACTGAGATTTTGGAGACTCCTTAAATTTTGTGCCCTACGTGTATACCTCACTCACCTCACCCTGATCCCAGGATTGCATAGTCTAATAGCAAAAATCACTCTATTCTTTAATTACTCATATCTAAATCTGTCTACTCCCTAAACTGTGATCCATGTAAGAGTGTAGACCACAGGAGATTCACCTCTGTATCCCTAACCCCAAGCAAAGGGGCCTGGCATGGAGGAGGTTCTCAGTAAATGAATGCATGAGAACCACTGAGTGGTATTATTTGAGTTGTCATGTGAATTAGAATATACCAATAAAGTATTTTGATGAAAAGTATAGGATATATGCATATACTTACGGATATATCCTATACTTTTCATCAAAATACTTCATCCTATGTGTGTATATATATTATATATACACACATATACACGTGTGCATATATACATGTATGTTGTGTGTGTGTATGTGTATGTGTGTATTTCAATAAGCATCAGTAAAATTATTATACAGGGGCCTACAGAGCAGCCAGCACCGGCCGTGGAGCAGTAGCCTTCTCCAGAACTTCCTCAAAGCACCATTATCCTAGAGAAGATGCCCAGGGTTGTAAGCCCTGAAATCCTTGACTCACATCCTAGTCAATCTGAGTGCATCAGAGCCTTCCACCACTATCCCCTTCTCTAACTGTAGAATGTAGATCAACCCTTGTTGAATGAGATGGAATTAACCTGACTTTTGGGGGCATTCCCTGGGCGTACAGGTCATACGTTGGGGAGAGGCATGAAAAACCAGTAAGGGTCAGACCCAAGCAGAAAGGCAATTGTGGATCTTGAGGATGAAGCTGGAATCAGACTTTTGAAGTTCTAGGCTCATGCAAAAGCAGGCTAAGGGAGCAGATTGGCTGGCAAGGCTCCAGTTGTCTAAGCCAGCAGGAGAATAGAGATGGATTTGCATTTGAATAAACTGGCATGGGGTAGAAACCAAGCTAGGTGCAGGTCGCCCAGACAAGTTTTTCCATACTAGCTGTGGTAGACTCAATAACTGGCTCTCAAAAGATATCCATGTCTTAATCCCTGTAATGTGTCTCTGTTACCTTATATGGTCAAAAAGGACTTTGCAGATGTGATGAAGTTAAAGATCTCAGGATGGTGAATTTACACTAGATTATCCAGGTGGGCCCTAAATGTAATCGCATGTAGCCTTATAAAAGTGAAGCAGTGGAGATTTGACACCCACAGAAAAGGATAAGGCAATGTGTCCACAGAGATAGAGATCTGAGTGATGCAGCCACAAGCAAAGGAAGGTAAGCAGCCACCAGAGGCTGAAGAGGCAAGGAATGGATTTTCCTGTAGAGCCTCTGGAAGAATTGGGTCCTGCTGACACCTTAATTTCAGCCCAGTGAAACTGATTTTGTATTTCTGGCCTCAAGAACTGTGAGAGAATAAATTTATGTTGTTTTAAGCTACCAAGTTTGTAGTAATTGGTTACAGAAGTCATAGGAAACAGATACACTAGTTAACCAGTTGTGGTATGGGGACTGGAGTACGCTCTAAACTTGAATAAGTGAATAAGAAGACTTGAGTTCAAATCCTTTTTTTCTGCTAATTTGGCCAGTTGTTTCACCTCCCCAAGCCTTGGATTCATGAATTGTAGTTTAGAAATAATCATGTCTAATTTATAGGGTCTTTGGTATATTAATAACAATGAGAGCTCATGTTTGCTAGGGCTTCCTTCTGTGCCAGGACAGCACCAGGCATTTGGCATGCATTTCTTTCTTTATTTCTCACAATCCCTCTCACAAGTAGGTACTGTGATCCCCTTAGGACAAGTGAAGACATAGGGGCTCAGCCAGGCACTATATTTTTCCAGCGGCACACAGCTACTAGGCAGATACCCAGAGCCCAAACTCTCTACTGTGCTACCTTCCTGCCTCTCAGATGTTAAATTAAATGATGGGAGATCAAAGTGCTTTGTAAACTGTAAAGCAGTGTGAAAAATGGGATTGCTTTAATGGATATTTGTAGTATTTATTTTATTCCTAAATTTGGACATAGAAACAGAAATGAACACCTTTAAGAAATGGCTTCCTTAAAACAGCAATTGATATAAAGTCAAATGGCTGACTCTCATCCTCACCTTTCGAATGCTCCTAGGCAATCCCAAATGAAAGAGGACAGAACAGCATCATGCTTCTGCAGACAAAAACTTGAGCTACCCCAATTGAGGTACAAGCTTTATTTTGTACCTTTAGGTCAACCACACACACTCTGTTGAATACCTTCCCCAATAAAAAAACACTGAGTTTAATTTCTTACATTGGATTTTGATTTTTTTTCCTATTTTACTATGATCTAATCTGTAATTTTCCAGGCTTGTCTCAAATTCCAGCTTTGGTTTGTTAATTCACAGGAATTGAATATCTCCAGGAGTCAGTAACACCTGTACTACACTGTATTTATAAAAACGTAGTTTCTTTATTCCTCTTTTCCTAGACTACCTGCAAAGCACTCCAAGTCAGGATATGTGTAGCTTATTGAATTAGTTATGTGCCTTTAATTAAATTAGAAGATAACTTAAGAGTAGTTCAAAGGCCAGAGTTGAACACTAAGTCTTAACTTGTAAATTCTAAATCTTTGCCACTTTGACATCATCTTCTAATAACTGTAAGATAGGCTGAAACTGAACAGCATCTATGGTTGGCTTAACGAGGTTTAGGGAAATAGGCTCATTAATGCAGCTTTGGAAGAAACTTCCATTTTCTACATCACAAGACATGATTTTTACCATCTTTCAGGACTAACATTAAAATCTTTTAGATTCTATCATGATGCCAAGTCACAGAGTGTGTAGAAATCCAGAAATTCCTCTAATTGCTTGTAAAATACAATTGCCATCTTATCCTTTCTCAGTTGGGACTGTAAAAGGCATCTCCATAAATGTGATGGGGAGCTAAGCACTGTGTTTCTCTTTCTTTTGTGTTCTAAGTAAATGGTAATTAAGAAAAGAAAGGAAGGCTGGAAAGTTAAACCAAATACTCCCCAATAGCAGGTCACATTGTTTCTGCTTAGAGTGACACTTGCAGCATATGTTTGCTACCTTATTGTTTTCTACATGACTTAGGGGAAAAAGGGTCAAATTAGTGTAAATTTTTAGTGAGTCAAAGAATTAGCCAGACTTAGTTACATAGTCACATTTTGCATTTATATCACTCTTAAGACCTTTTGAACACATTTTTATACTTCTCATTTGAAGTGATAAAAAGCAAAACAGCAATTCTGAGATTTTTTTCTTGCCCTTGTTTCAAATGTTAAGAAAATATTTTGGTGAGAGCTGATTCAACACTTGCAAGGCTCATCTCTCTTACCTCTCCCAAATTCCAGCCCTATCGGATTCTATCTTCATAAGCATTTTAGTATTATTTTCATAATGGAAGGTTTTTTTGCATTTAGTAATAACCAAATAAACATTTGTTTGGGGGAAAGTCCAATCAGCCTTGAAAGAATCAGGCCTGAGATGCTCTGGTCTAAGAATGGGTATCAGGACATCACACAAGGGACGAGCAGCTGTATGTTTTTATAAGGTGACCCAGCACATAGACAAGAACATCACACTTGAGCTCTGCAGTCCCCAGGAACAAGGGCAAACTCATTGAAGGACAGAAAAGCTGGGGTGGAAAAGTGAGTTACAGAGGTTAAGAGGGTCAGATGCACTATCCCCAGGACCCAAGTGCACTTTTTCAGTAGCTAGAAGTGGATCTATTGTAACTATAATGTGCTTTCCTGTGTTCTGTGTGTTCCTGCATGTTGAACTGTGGATTATATGGTATGCTATGGTTTGAGTTTGCCCCCATCAAAACTCATATTGAAATTTGATCCCCAATGTGGTAGTGTTTGGAGGTGGAATCTAGTGGGAGGTGTTTTGGTCATGGGGGCATATCCCTCATGAAGGACTTGTTGCTATTCTTAGAGTAGTGAGTGAGTTCTCACTCTCATGGGACTCTCCTGGGAATGGATTAGTTCCCTTGAGAGTGGGTTGTTATAAAGCCAAGATGACCCTCAGATTTTCTCTCTTTACATGTATCCACTTCCCCTTTGACCTCATCTACCTTGTTTTGACCTAGCACCTGGCCCTACCAGAAACCAAGTAAATGCCAGTGCCATGCTTCTCAGACTTCCCAGCCTGCAGAACTGTGAGTGAAATAAAACTGTTTTCTTTATAAATTACCCAGTCGGGTCTTCCTTTATAGCAACACAAAATGGACTAAGACAGTCAGTGGAGAAGAGGCTGCAAAATGAAGAGAGTGATGGACTTCTCACTATGGCCCTGGTTTGAGGGGTCTATCCTGCTACAGCCAGTCTGCTCCTTGAGTTCTCCAATATACTTCCCTCAATCTATTCAGATCGTTGCTTATTGGGTGCATTCACAGCTCTACAACTAAGTACCTGTGGGATTAACTGTTACAGCTGGACAGTAACAGTCAACTGCATTCAGGATAGCTGCTTTTCTATTCTATTAAAGCTGCCAGATTGAAAAAGATGAGCAACCGCCTGCAATGCAAACTCAGACCATGAACAACAAAAATTACTCACACAACCACTACCTCCAGCAGAATTTTACTGGTTATTCATTAAACTTATGACAGAAATAAAAGGCACAAACTATCAGCCTTCCCATTGAGAAAGAATTCTTAACATTTGAAAAACAATGTGTTTCACAAAGAAAAAAGATTATAAATCACTAAACCACTTCATCACCAATTAAATCCTATAACTACAATGCTTCTCATACATACCATGTTGAAATTTTAATTTTTAATTTTTAATGCCTACAAATATTATTCATTAAGTTGGGCAGAGTTCTTTTCTATTATAGAGGACAATGTCAGAAAGGTGGGGAGGGAGCTTGTTGTAACACAAGTATAGGTTTATAGTGAAATAGACTTGGATTCCAATACCAGGTCTACTACTGACAATGCAAATGGCACTGGGCTAGTTCCTGTATTCACTAAGCCTCCGCTTCATCATTTGTAAGATGGGGATATTATCCACCTCATAAAGCTGTAAAGGATATTAAATGAAATACCTTAGGTCTTCTTCCCTTCCCTAGCCACCATTTCCATCCACCAGGTAAAAGAAGAAAATGTAAGCATGTGGTACGATATCTGGAGGCTAAGAACAGTTTGTTGAAAGGAGTATATCATACATATATATCATACATAAAAAGTTTAATGCTGTAAACATTTTATTAAATGAACCAAAAAGTGAGGAAAGTACTGTAGTTAGTGTTTAAAGTTGGAAAATAGCCACAGGATTTCTGGTTCCAGATGACTGAGCACTTTTGTTTACTTCCCCATTCTTCATGGACCCAACCAAATCAAAGTAAAGATATATTGTGAAGCATCATAGTGTATTGATTAGAACCACACTGCCTGGTGTCATCCAAAATACATATGGAAGAAGGCTCAGGGAGGTGGAGATACTTTGTAAGAGCCCCTGAAAGGTACCAAGCTCACAGTCATTAGATGCTAAGTGCAGAAATGGGCTGTGGGAGAGATATCAGGGTAGTCACATTGGAAACTGTCAATGGGTAATAAGGCCAGCTGTCCCCTCCCCCTATTCTATGCATACAAAGTAGCTAGCTATAATATTTATTCCTATCTGGAGTTCTAAGTACAGTTTCCTAAACAGAGTAGAATATTTTCCTAGAGAAGGCCAATACTATGAATATCGTAGCAAAGTAAAGAGGCAGAGTACAGAGTATTGTGACACTACACCTCATATGAAGTGAAACAAACAAACAAACAAACAAAAAAAACACAAGGAAATCCTGGCACAGTGGCTCACTCCTGTAATCCCAGCACTTTAGGAGGCCAAGGTGGGCAGATCACCTGAGGTCAGGAGTTCCAGACCAGCCTGGCCTGTCACGGTGAACCACTGTCTCTACTAAAAATACAAAAATTAGCTGGGCGCAGTGGCGTGCACCTGTAGCCCCAGCTACTTGGCAGGCTGAGGCACCAGAATCACTTGAACCTGGGAGGCAGAGGTTGCAGTGAGCCTAGATCATGCCATTGAACTCGTGACAGTGAGGCTCTGTCTCAAAAACAAAACAAAACAAACAAAAAACACAACAAGGAAAGGTAACTTCATCAAGGAATGAAACACATGAAAGTCTTCTACTTCTAAAATGAACTCTGAATTACTCTACTCCCACAGTAAAAACTTCCTTACTTTAGCACTTACATGGAGAAATCTTGAGGCAGCCTGCCTACTTCCCACTAAGAAATCCTAAAAAGAAGCCTGTCAACCCATTTCCACAGAGTCTATATTCAGTATTCAGCATTTTCAATCTAGAGAGTAGCCTTTTGGAGTTATGTACATGTATAACTGTAAAAGAAACCCATGCCAGCGACTGTTCTAGTCAATATAGTTCTGCAGGCATAAATAAAAATGACCAATAATAGATAATTAGATGTTTGAGGAAAAACAACAACATGAAAGAGAAGGACTAGCCTGAATTGGGAAAAAAAAATGACACTAGAGGAAACAGATAATCCTGGGATCATTAATAAGTGGTAGCTACACACTGAGTGCATATGGACACAAAGAAGAGAACAACAGACACCATGGCCTACTTAAGCGTGAAGGGTGGGAGGAGGGCGAGATAAAAAAACTCCTTATCAAGTACTATGCTGATTACCTGGGTGATAAAATAAAAAGGGCCCTTTGAGGGCCAAACAGGATTTAAAAAATGGCCCCTACCTACTTGGTATTGAAAGATACCAAGTTGAAATTTCAGTTCATGAAAGATAAAGAGAAAAATCACTTAGTTTCCAGGAAACATCATTCACTGTAGATTTCCCCTCTTGATAACAAGTCATTCCTTTCTAGTCTCTTTGCTGGTTTCTCATTTCCACAGACTGTAAACATTGAAGTAACTCACGACTTGGTTCTTGGTACTCTTTTCTATCTCTTCTTACTTCCTGAGAGGAATTATCCAGTGTCATGAATTTAAATACCAGTTATAGGCTGATGAGTATTAACTTTAAATCTTCATCCTGGATTTTTCTCCTGAATCCAGATTGGTATATCCAACCGCCTACTTGACATCTCAAAATTGATACATGAAACTGAGCTTCTGATATCCCACCCACCCCACCCAAAGGAAATATCCCCCTATAATTTCCCTCACATACTTTAATTATGGCATATTTTCAGTTGCTTAGGAAAAAATACTTTGATTTATCCTTGACTCTTGTTTCTCCTTTATTTCACATGCAGAAAACCTTGTTGTCTCTGTCTCAAAATATATCCAGAATCTAGACACTCCTCACCACTTCAACTGCCACCACTGTAATCCAAACCATCATGATTCTTAACCTGGATTATTGCAGTACCCTTCTCACTAGTCTCCTTGCTTCTGCCTTTGCCCACATTTAGTCTATTTCAATCCAGAAGACTTTCTTTGAAACCTGATGGTGGTTTCATATCTCACTCAGAGTAAATACCAAATTCTTTATTCTAACCTATCACATCTTCCATGACTTGCCCATGACTTCATCTTACACTACTCATTCATTTATTCCACGGGTCTATCTGCCCTCCCCACTATTTCTGAAATGAACTTGCCTGGCTTTAAAATCAGGGCTTTTGTGACTATTCATTTTCCTTGGAAATATTTCCCATCAGATATTGGCATGATTTATCCTTATGGTTCCTTCAAATCTTTACTCAAAAGTCATTTTCCTAGTGAAGACTTCCAAGACCACCTTATCTAAATGTAATCCCCTCCCCTAGTACTTCTTATCCCTCCATGCTTTATTTGTCTACCGAGGATTTATCACCATCTTATATACCACAAATTTTATATACTTATACTTTTTATTCTCTTTACCCACTAGAAAATAAGCTTCATGAGGCAGGGATTTTAGCCTACAAAACAATGAACAATGTTTTATTCATTTCTATAAATCTAGTTACTAAAATACTACCTGACATATAGTAGATACACCATAAACATTTGCGGAATAAGCGAACAAATGAAAAGATTCCTGATATAAAAGAAAACCAATTAAATCAGTCATCTCTAAAGGAGTGGGATCAGATTGATGTTACTCTCCTTATTAAAACTGTAAAGGACAATGTCTTTAAAGTTCTAATGGGAAATAAATTAAAACCTGTAATTTTATTCTAGAAAAAACAATCAACTGAGAGGGCAAAGTAAAGCCATTTTCTGCATTAAAAGACTTGGAAATTTTCATTTTCATTTTTTTTTGGGAAAAACATTCAAGGACGTACTTTTAAAGTGGGAAATAAAAATGTATCCCAGAATGATAGAAGGTAATTGATTCAATCTGGACATGAAGTTAGAGGAATGCTTGAAAAATACCTTTAAGAAGAAAATAAATCTATCCCACAAACTGTATGTGTAAGAACTTTGAGGTTCTTAGTGATGAAATAGTAGCAAGTGCCTCTTCTGTCAGAGACAGGAAAGAAGAAAGGAAGGAAGGAGGGGAGGGGGAGACGGAGGGAAGAAAAGGCAATTAGAAACTCTAGCAAAAAAAAAAAAGCTGCACAAAAGAGCTATGTTTCAAATGATGAAGCAAACTAAATGTGGCATCTTTCTTTAGAAAGTGTATTGCTTAATAAATATTTTTTGAGTGGATACTACATGCTGGACATTGGTCCTAGGTGCTCAGGGGATACATGACTGAACAAAAACAGAAAAAATACTCTGTCATAATGGAGCAAACATTCAGATAGTGGAAGATAAATAATGAACAAATAAAGAAATAAACAAGAAAATTTCAACTTCTAAGTATTATGAAGAAAAAAAAACTGGGTAGGTGGTAGAGCAGGTTATGAGTGACCATTGATGGGGCAGTATCTTCTATTTAAGATTGGGTGATTAGGCAAGGAGGTGATATTTGCACTGAGACCTGAATGACAGCAAAGAGCCAGCCATGGAAAGATCTGAAAACAGAGTATTGCAGGCAGAGGAAACAGCACATTTTAAGGCCTTAATGTAGGAAGAATCATGGTATGGGGCAGAAACAGCAAGGCCACTGTAGCTGAAAGACCACAGATGAGGGACATGAGTGATGGAACACATGATCAGAGAGGTTTGTTTGCGGCTGAATTATGCAGAGCCTTGCAGGCTATGCAAAAGATTTTCTTCTTTCATTCTAAATACAACAGAACCATTGGAGGGTTTTAAGGAGGGGAGGGAAATGATCGGATTCTGCTTTAAAATCATTCTGCTTACCCTCTGGAGAATAGACTGTAGGTATGAGATCAAGAATATAAACAGGGAGACCAGTTAGGTAACTATTTGCTAGACTATGATTCAAGAGACGATAATGGCTTGAATGAGGTTGGTAATATTAGAGGGGTTGAGAATTGATCAATTTAGGATATGTTTTGGAGGAAGAGACAATAGGAGATGTTATTGAAAGTAGAGCAGGGAGTGAAAGACAGGTAGGAATCTGAGATGACTCCCAGGTTTGGGGTTTCAGCAACTGATGGGTAGTGGTGTCTTTTACTAGAAACAGGCAGAGAGATGGTTTTTCAAGCTAGGAAATAATAAGATCTACTACCTGATAGCACAACAGGGTGACTATTGTCAATGCTAATTTAATTGTACATTTTAAAATAAAAGTATAGATTGTAACACAAAGGATAAATACTTGAGGAGATGGATACCCCATTTCACATACACACACATTTACATATATGCTAATTTTAAGTTCAGGGGTACATGCACAGGTTTGTTACATAGGTAAATGTGTGTCATGGGGGTTTGTCGCACAGATTATTTCATCATCGAGGTATTAGGCCTAGTACATATTAGTTTTTCTGATCCACTCCCTCCTCCCACACTCCAACTTCCAATAGGCCCCAGTGTATGTTCTTCCTTTCTCTGTGTCCATGTGTTCTCGTCATTTAGCTCCCGCTTATAAGTGAGAATATGCAATATTTGGTTTTCTGTTCCTGTGTTAGTTTACTAAGCATAATGGCCTCCAGCTTCATCCATGTCCCTGCAAAGGACATGATCCTGTTGTTTTTTATGGCTGCATAGTATGCCACGGCATATGGGTACCACATTTTCTTTATCCAGTCTATCATTGATGGGCATTTAGGTTGACTCCACGTGTTTGCTATTGTGAATAGTGCTGCAGTGAACATACCTGTGTGTGTGTCTTTATAATAGATTTATTTATATTCCTTTGGGTATATACTCAATAATAGGATTGCTGAGTCAAATGGTAGTTCTGCTTTTAGTTCTTTGAGCAATCGCCATACTGCTTTCCACAATGGTAGAACTAATTTACACTCCCCAAAACTGTGTGTAAGTGTTCCCTTTTCTCCACAACCTCACCAGCAGCTGTTATTTTTTGACTTTTTAACACTAGCCATTCTGACTGGTGTGAAACGATATCACATTGTGGTTTGGATTTGCATTTCTCTAATGATAAGTGATGCTAAGCTTTTTTTTTTTATATGACTTAGCCACGTGTATGTCTTCTTTAGAAGTGTTCATGTCCTTTGCCCACTTTTTAATGAGGCTGTTGGTTTTTCTCTTGCAAATTTAAGTTCCTTATAAATGCTGGATATTAGACCTTTGTCAGATGCATAGTTTGCAAAAATGTTCTCCCATTCTGTAGGTTGTCTGTTTACTCTGTTGATAGTTTATTTTTGCAGTGCAGGGGCTGTTTAGTTTAATTAGATTGCATTTGTCAATTTGTTCTATTGTTGCAATTGCTTTTGCTGTCTTCATCATGAAATCTTTGCCAGTGCTTATATATTCTGAATGGTATTTCCTAGGTTGTATTCCAGGGTTGTTATAGTTTTGGGTTTTGTATTTAAGTCCTTATTCCATCTTCAGTTGATTTTTGTATAAGTTGTAAGGAAGGGGTCCAGTTTCAATCTTCTGCATATGGCTAGCCAGTTATCCTAGTACTATTTATTGAATAGGGAATCCTTTGACAAACCTGCTCTTTTCAGGTTTGTCAAAGATCAGATAGGTGTAGGTGTGCAGTCTTATTTCTGGGTTCTCTATTCTGTTCCATTTGTCTATGTATCTGTTCTTGTACCAGTACTATGCTCTTTTGGTTACTGTAGCCCTGTAGTATACAGTCTGAAGTCAGGTAGCGTGATACCTCCAGCTTTGTTCTTATTGCTTAGGATTGCCGTGGCTATTTGGGCTTTTTTTTTTTTTGGTTCCATATGAATTCTAAAATAATTTTTTCTAGTTCTGTGAAGAATGCCAATGGTAGTTTAATGGGAATAGCATTGAATCTATAGGTTGCTTAGGGCAGTAGGGCCATTTTCGCAATATTGATTCTTCCTATCCATGAGCATGGAAAGTTTTTACATTTGTTTGTGCCATCTCTGATTTCTTTGAACAGTGGTTTGTAGTTCTCTTTCTAGAGATCTTTCACCTCCCTAGTTAGCTGTATTCCTAGGTATTTTATTCTTTTTGTGACAATTGTGAATGGGAGTTCATTTCTGATTTGGCTCTCGGTATGGTTGTTGGTGGTGTATAGGGATGCTAGTGATTTTTGCATATATATTTTGTATCCTGAGACTTTGCTGAAGTTGCTTATTAGTTTAAGAGGCTTTTGGGCTAGGACAGGGCTTTCTAGATATAGGATCATGTCATCTGCAAACAGGCATAGTTGGACTTCCTGTCTTCCTATTTGAATGCCCTTTCTTTCTTTCTCTTGCCTGATTGCCCTGGCCAGAACTTCCAATACTATGTGAAATAGGAGTGATGAGGGCATCCTTGTCTTGCGCCAGTTTTCAGGGAAAATGCTTCCAGCCTTTGCCCATTCACTATGATATTGGCTGTCAGTTTGACACATATGGTTCTTATGGTTCTGGAGTATGTTCCTTTAATACCATGTTTATTGAGAGTTTTTAACAAAAAGGAATGTTGAATTTTATTGAAGGCCTTTCTGTGTCTATTGATATAATCATGTGGTTTTTGTCTTTAGTTCTATTTATGTGATGAATCACATTTTTTGATTTGCATATATTGAACCAACCTTGCATCCTGGGGATAATGTCTGTTTGATCATGGTGGATAAGCTTTTTGATGTACTGCTGGGTTCGGTTTGCCAGTATTTTATCGAAGATTTTTGCAACGATGTTCATCAAGGATATTGGCCCGAAGTTTTCTTTCTTTTTTGTTTTTGTTTTTGTTTTATCTCTGCCAGGTTTTGGTATCAGGATGATTCTGGCCTCATAGAATGAGTTAGAAAGAGTCCCTCCTTTTCAATTTTTTGGAATAGTTTCAGGAGGACTGGTACTAGCTCTTCTTTGTACAGCTGGTAGAATTCAGCTGTGAATCCATCAGGTCCTGGGATTTTTTTGGTTGGTAGGCTATTTATTACTGACTCAACTTCAGAGCACATTATTGACCTGCTCAGGGAATCAATTTCTTCCTTGTTCAGTCTTGGGAGGGTGTATGTGTTCAGGAATTTATCCATCTCTTCAGGTTTTCTAGTTTGTGTGTATAGAGGTGTTTACAGTATTCTCTGATGGTTGGTTGTATTTCTGTGGGGTCAGTGGTAATATCCCTTTTCATTTCTGATTGTGTTTATTTGAATCTTCTCTCTTTTCTTCTTTATTATTCTAGCTTGCAGTCTATCTATTTTATTATATTTTTTAAAAAACCATCTCCAGGATTCACTGCTCTTTTGAATGGCTTTTCATGTCTCTATCCCTTTCAGTTCTGCTCTGATTTTGGTTATTTATTGTCTTCTGCTAGCTTTGGGATTTGTTTGCTCTTGGTTTTTTAATTCTTTTACTTGTGATGTTAAGTTGTTATCTTGAGATCTTTTTGATGTGGGCATTTAGTGCTATAAATTTCCCTCTTAACACTGCCTTCACTGTGTCCCGGAGATTCTGGTATGTTGCATCTTTTATCTCATTTGTTTCAAAAACTTCTTGATTTCTGCCTTAATTTCTTTATTTACCACAAAGTCATTCAAGAGTAGGTTATTCAATTTCCATGTAATTGTGTGGTTTTGAGTGAATTCCTTAGTCTTGAGTTCTAATTTGGTTATGCTGTAGTCCAAGAGGCTGTTATGAGTTCAGTTCTTTTGCATTTGCTGAGGAGGTTTTACTTCCAATTTTGTGATCAATTTTAGAGTAAGTGCCATGTGGCAATGAGAAGAATATATATTCTGTTGTTTTTGGGTGGACAGTTCTGAAGATATCCATCAGGTCCATTTGACCCCAAGCTGAGTTCAGGTCCTGACTATCTTTGTTAATTTTCTGTCTTGATGATGATATTGTCAGTGGGTGTTACAGTCTCCCACTATTATTATTTAGAAGTCTAATTCTCTTTGGACGTCTCTAAGAACTTGCTTTATGAATCTGGGTGCTCTTGTATTGGGTGCATATATACTTAGGGTAGTTAGCTCTTTTTGTTGAATTGAACCCTTTACTATTATGTACTGCCATTCTTTGTCTTTTTTGATCTTGTTGGTTTAAAGTTTGTTTCATCAGAAACTAGGATTGTGACCCCAGCTTTTTTCTGTTTTCCATTTGCTTGGTAGATTTTCCTCCATCTCTTTATTTAGAGCCTATGTGTGTCATTGCATGTGAGATGGTTCTCCTGAGGACAGCGTACTAATGGGTCTTGGTTCTTGATTCAGCTTGCCACTCTGTGTCTTTTAATTGGGGGCATTTAGTCCATTTACATTTAAGGTTAGTATTGATATGTGTGGATTTGATCCTGTCATCATGCTGTTAGCTGGTTATTTTTCAGACTTGTTTATGTCGTTGCTTTATAGTGTCACTGGTCTATGTACTTCAGTGTGTTTTTGTAGTGGCTGGTAGTGGTCTTTCCCCTCTAGGCTTAGTGCTCCTTTCAAGATCTCTTTTAAGGCAGGTCTGGTGGTAATGAATTCCCTCAGCATTTGCTTGTCTGAAAAAGATCTTATCTGTCCTTCGCTTATGAAGTTTAGTTTGTCTGGACAAGAAATTCTGGGTTGGAATTTCTTTTCTTTAAGAATTTTGAATATTGGCCCCCAATCTCTTTTGACTTGAAAGGTTTCTCCTGAGAGGTCTGCTGTTAGTCTAATGAGTTTCCCTTTGTAGATGACCTGACTTTTCTCTCTAGATGCCCTTAATGTTTTTTCTTTCATTTCAACCTTAAAGAATCTGATGATTATGTGTCTTCGGAATGATCTTCTCATGGAGTATCTTACTTGGGTTCTCTGCATTTCCTGAATTTGAGTGTTGATCTATCTAGCTAGGTTGGGGACGTTCTCCTGGAGGATATTCTGAAATATGTTCTCCAAATTGGTTCCATTCTCACCATCTCTTTCAGGCACACCAATTAGTTGTAGATCCAGTCTCTTTACACAATCCCATATTTCTTGGAGGTTTTGTTCGTTCCTTTTCATTCTTTTTTCTCTATTCTTGTCTGTCTGCCTTATTTCAGAAACACAGTCCTCAAACTCTGAGATTCTTTCCTCCACTTGGTCTTTTCTGCTATTAATACTTGTGATTGCATTATGAAATTCTTGTATTGTGTTTTTCAGCTCCATCAGGTTCATTACATTCTTCTCTATACTGGCTATTTTGTCTGTCACTTCCTGCAATATTTTATGATTTTTAGCTTTCCTGCATTGGGTTACAATGTGCTCCTTAAGATCAGTGAAGATTGTGTTTATCCACATTCTGAATTCTACTTCTGTCATTTCAGCCATCTCAGCCTCACCCCGGTTCTGAACCCTTACTGGAGAGGTGATCCAGTCATTGGAGAAAAGAGGGCACTCTGGCTTTTTGAGTTTTCAGCATTCTTGCACTGAGTCCTTCTCATCTTTGTGGGCAGACCTACCTTTAATCTTTGAGGTTGTTGACCTTTGGATGGCTTTTTTTTTTTTTAATAGTCTGGCCACTTTTCCATAGTGCTGCTGCCATTTGCTGGGGTTCCACTACAGTCCCTAATTGCCTTGCATTTTCTAGTACCTGGAGGTATCACTAGTGAAGGCTGCAAAACAAGAAAGATGGAAGCCCATCCCTTCCTCTGAGAGCTCCATCCCAGGGAGGTATGAACCTGTTGCTGGCCTGAATGCACCTGTCGGAGTGACTGGAGACCCCCTTTGGGAGGTCTTGCCCAGTCAGGAGGAAGGGGATCAGGGATCTGCTTAAAGCAGCAGTCTGGCTGTGCCTTCATAGAGCAGCTGCACTATGCTGGGGTACTGCCTCTGCCCCCAGTTGGCTTTGGCTCTCCAAAGCATGGAGGCTGGAATGGCTGAGCTCCCGAAACAGCAAAGATGGTGGTCTGCCCCTCTCTCTGGGAGCCCCGTCCAAGAAGTTTTCAAATCTCTGTCAGCCAGAGAACACCAGTGGGGGTGGCTGGAGGCCCCAGTTGAGAGGTCCCACACAGTGAGCAGGAATGGATTGGGGACAGGCTTAAAGAAGTAGTCTGACCATGTTTTGGTAGAGCAGCTGTGCTGGGCTGGGGGATTCCTTCCACCCCTGGTCAGTTTGGACTCTCCAAAGCCTGCAGACTAGAAAATCTGGGTTGCCCAAACAGCAAAGGTGGCGGCCCACCCCTCTCCCAGAAACTCATTCCCATAGAGAACACTGGCGGGGGTGGCTGGAGGCCCTGATTAGGAGATCCTCTCAGTGAGGAGAAACGGGATCGGGGACCCTTTTAAGGAAGCAGTCTGGCCACATTTTCATAGAGCAGCTGTGCTATGCTGAGGTATCACTTCTACCCTGGTTGGCTTGGGCTCTCCAAATCCCACAGGCTGGAATATCTAAGTTGCCCAAATAGCAAAGATGGCAGCCTACCTCCACCTCTGGGAACTCCATCCCAGAGAGAATTCAAATCTCTGTCAGCCAGAGAACACCAATGAGGGTGACTGGAGGCCCCAGTTGGGAGGTCCTGCCCAGTGAGGAGGAACAGGTCAGGTATCCACTTAAAGAAGCAGTCTGGCCATGTTGTGGTAGAGCAGCTGTGGTGTGCTGTGCTGTGAGATACCTTTGGTCCACAGTTGGTTTGGACTCTCTAAAGCCCACAGGGTAGAATGGTTGAGTTGCCCAAACAGCAAAGATGGCAGCCCACCCCTCGTCCTCCTCCGAGCCTTAGAACTCCATCCCAGGTAGGCTCAATACTGTTGCTGGTGGGGCTGGAATTCTAAAGCAGTGGGTCTTATCTTGTGGGACACAGTGAAAGTGGGGCCCGCAGACCATCACTGCTCTGCCCCCTGGATTCAGTCCCCTCTGTAGGGGTACGTATGGAGGTCCCATCTCCCACCTTACCAGAGTGGCAGTCATTTTGCCGGAAAGCCCAGTGCCACAGTAGGTAAAGCTCCTGGGCCTCCATGCATGCCTGAGTGTCCTGGGCCTCCATGCATGCCTGAGTGGCTGTTCTGCCAAGACTCCATGCAGCTCTGTGTGTCAGACTGAAGGCCCTAGAGGAGTGGGTTCATGAGTGGATCTCCTGACCCAAGGGTTGCAAGGATCCATGGGAGAAGCATGGTTTCCCTGGGTTGCACATTCACTCACTGCTTCTCTGGGCAGGGGAAATTCCCTTGGTTCCATGTCACTCCCAGGTGGGCTGTTGCCCTGCCTTGCTTTTCTCCATTCCCTGTGGGTTGAGCCGTTTCCCTGATTGGTCCCCGTGTGAGTCCCTGGGTGTTTCAGTTGAAGGTGCCATATTTACTCGCCCTTTTCATTCCTCTCCATGAAAGTCACGCACCATAGCTGCTTGTAGTCAGTCATCTTGGCCCCAGACAGTGATTATTATATTTTATATGCCTGTATCAAAACATTTCATGTATCCCATAAATATATATACCTACTATGTACCCACAAAAATTATAAATAAAAAATTAAAGAGAAAAAGATGTTTTGGACACGTTAAGTTTGAGATAGCATGTTAGAATGCACAGGTAAGTAGGTAGTTAGATAGCAGTCTGTATTACAGGGAACAGGTTGAGACTGGGAATTTATTTATGAAAGTCATTAAATGCTATTTAAAACCATAGATCTTATGAAAATTTAGTGTCATGAGAAACATACATATATCTAATACTACGAATGTCTATTGGCTTTCAACTTTTAGAATCAAGCTATAGGCAAGCACAGAAAACATAATTGTATTAGTATACTGCAACTTTACTGAATTTGTTTATCAGTTCTAATAGTTTTTTGGTGGACCCTGGGTTTTTCCAAATATAAGATTATATCATCTGCAAACATGGAATGAACCACATAAAATTGCTGATATTTAACTATTTTTGACGAACATAAATTACAATTTCATATGGTTCAAATCAGTAGTTACAGAATACGCTGTAAATGTTACAAACATTGACAACATAAGAGTAATGATGTAGGAGACAACAGGAGGCAGAAGGAGAGAAGGAGACGTGGGATATGTGTGTATGTGTTAGTTTATTTTGTTTACAAAGTAGGGAGTAAATAAATAGTGTCAAAATTTGATGAAACACGAAATACAGCTGGATATACATTGTTCAAATTTGAAAATGAAATCACTGGCTGTTTTAAAAATAATATAACTAATAAAATCAGGAAGTTGAGATGAAATCTGGAAAACAGTGAGTGTAGTTTCCTAAATTCCTCATATATAAGAGCAACAGAAAATACTGTCAATATGTACTATCTAACAATGAAACAGCAAGAAAGAACACCAGATTTTTAGTATTATGATATTCTAGAATCATTAAAAAAGCTAAAAGTAGCTTCTCTAGGAAATGGGACTGGGGTTGAGGGGAGAGAGAAGAAAACTTTACTTTTAATTTTATACTATTTATTGGATTTTTATGTGAATTATTTTATAACAATGACAATGATAATAATAATAAGGACAATAACAGCTTCCACTGGCTATTTTCACCCTTTCCAAAATTCAACAGTAGGTTGCTGACTGTGCTCTCTTTGGCTGGCTGTACTAACAATCAACCAACCCATATAGCCTCTTATTTTGTCTATTCAGATGCATCAAATCACCAAATGTGCATTTTAATATGGATGCCATTATTTAGAGAACTAGACCACAAAATTCCCCTGAGACTGAGATGTCTCTTACATCAGTAAGAATAGATAAGAATCTGAAGTTTCCTGTGGGACTTATCAGTCTCCGCCTCAAAACAGATGGCCACAGAGTTGGAAGAGCTGTGGTAAAAGGTGAAATTGGTAAAAACCCAAAGGAAGTTTGTCCTCATGATTTCTAAACATACTTATTACACATTTGAAAGTTGCCAACTCTTTAAACCAAATTTAACGGAAGAGTTAGTTTAGTTTCCCAATATTGGTTTTGTGACACCTCAGAATGCCTCCAGTGATCTTAAAGAGCACTGTAGAATTGTATTATCCCTCATTAAAAATAATAATTTTATCCTTGCTTTAATCTGAAATATAACAAACAAATGTCATTCACTACTTGTATTTAGAGAAATGGGGCTGGGACAGAAGATTGTTAAGTAAGAGAGCACCGCCACTAAAGGAGAGTTGGGAATCCCTAGCTCATATTCTGGATTGGATTTACATGAACCCATAAGTGTCCTGACAATCTAGAAAACTGTTTATTTGTGCTACCAGTTCCTCCTTTCTATTAAGATTCACATCACACTTCCTCACATTTATTTCATTCAGGAGCTGCTTTGTTAAATTATATGAGTTACTAAAGATATATCTTTACTCTTCACATTGAGACTTAACTTATTCTTGGCTGTAGACTAAACAGAAGCCTCCATAGATTCTTTGATGGTTTTCATATTTGTTATATACTCCATCTCACAGAAGGAAATGAAAACTGGACTTCCTTCCTTCTCTTGATAGTGAATGGGGATTACCCAGTCCTCTTGACAACAATGGTCTCTCTTGATGTTTCCTGTCTATCCTTCAACAAGAACATAACAACCCATAGTCAAGTGGAAAGTCTGATTATAATCAACGTCTAACCCCAAAAGTAACAGTTTCTAAGGGGACTCAACCTATGAAGGATAAAAGCGGAAGCACCAACATCCAACTCTCCCTTCAGGGTTATCAAGGTCAGCTTCTCAGTTGTAATATTAGCATCTGACTTGTACTGATGAGTCTATTTTTCTATCACTTCTATGCTCAGATGTTTCAAGGTGGAACAAAATCAAAATGAATGCAAGTATTGATAAATTTGCCTGGTTCCAAGCAAATTTTCCTCCTAACTCCTCATTTTTAATTCCATAATACTGTGAAACTCATTTTAATAGGTTCCCAAGGCTGTAAATTCTAGCTACCAGAATGCTAGGAAAGATTGGAAAGAAACCAGAGGAAGGAGGCATTATGCTCATCAGGTTTGGAACCAGATTTGCTTCTCCTGCCCTCTTGGATTTCATGCACATGTTTAGTCCGTATATAATGCTTCCAATTTTACAGGGAACAGTTCTGATATCTCATCTCTGTGGCTTTCAATAGCAAACCTCAAATCTGCACACTGTGATAACCAAATCAATCCATAGCATTCAAGTCAAGGGTAATCCATCTGAAGTCTTAATCACTAAAATAAGGCTCCTTTGGGCCAGTCAGGTTTTAGAATCGATGGGTCTGAGGTGGGAGCAGGCTTTTAATGGGTGCCTCCTGTTAGAAAGGGAACTAAGCCAGTGCATTAGTGAGCTGCAAGTGCCAGGCCCCTGGAGAGACACACTGAGCTCTTAAAACACAGTGTCACTGTGTAAATGCCTTTAAAAATACATGTTTGGAAAAGCACCACAATGTTTTAGTCACCTGATTATGGCAAAACTAAGTCATTTTATAGCCCTAATAGAGGAAGGAAGCAGCAAGACAGAAGCAAGGATCCACTTGGGACATAGAAGCAAGCAGAAAGCAAACACCACTGTTACGTGTCGGGAATGGGCCCTGATGCAATGCTAACCATCAGCCCCTACTCTTTCACAAAAAGGAGCATTTCATCTATTGTTTAGAGCCCTAGACTGTTTCTACCATGATTACTCCCTGAATTAAATGCTTATGCCATTTACCATTTTGCCCATTAACAAGGGTTCTTCAGTATCCACGTGAGGAATGGCCAACAAAACCTCAAGAGCTTTAGAGAGATATATAGGTACAAATACACATTTTAGGGCAAAAGTTGCAGCATATACTCAGGGGTGGGGGTTGGGAAAGGGATAGAAGAAAATAGCATGCCTCTATTTTATTCCTTCTCAAGATAGAATTTTAGTACACTCTGTGTTCTCTAACTACAACTTTCAACAAGGACAAACTGTTTTTGCAGTAAAATGACATTCTGACTATTTGCTAGTCCAGGGTTTAGTAACATACAATTGCAGCAGTCAATAGCAAGAAAAATCAATCTCCTGAAATTTAAGCAGGCATACCCACATGCCCCCCTCCCCACACACACTGCAATAGAGCCTTATCCATTATATGAGCTCAAACATTTTAATCTAAATTAAATCCAATTAGAGGTAATCATAGTGGATCATATTAAACTAATTCTGAGACAGGAAAGATTATAATTTTAAATGGCTCCATAAAGCCCTAATGAAAAAAAATCATTTATTTCCATTAAGTAGGCCAATAACCAATACCTAAAGGTTAGTGAAAAACTGCCAGGATGGCTATTTCTCTCTTCTGCCTGAACCTCAGCTGAGCCATAAGAGCCCAGGGTTCTGAAGCAAGATCTGCCTGTGATGGGATTGAGCACAAAGCCATCTATCATGCTAGACTGAATGATTGCAGAGCTTAGCAATGACAGGAGTGATTACCTCTCAGGATGGATGTAATACTACATTTCAGGACTTAGGTGCATAACTACTTTTCTATTATTGCATATCCCTTTTGTACTTGATGTATTCTAGTCAATGGTTCTGTAATTTCCCAAGCAACTTCGGCTTCTGTAAGAAGCCCTCCTAATGACTGTGCCCAGCCTCTTCCTTTCCTCCATGGAATTGAGAGCTACCAAGTACTAGACAAAATCTGTTTTGCCTTTTACTCTTAAGCCATCTATTTAATGGGAGGAAAATTAATGTAACTTTCTCTTTTGTGTTAATTATTTCTAAAAATTGCCAAAAAGTGATAGTTTGAGAGGCTGATGAGGTAAGCCACCTTTTACCATCCAGTGGGTGGCTATAAACATATTGACTTTAGCCCAGCTTGGAAGACCTAAATACTACCTCTGCCTTCTTGGTTGTGTGACCTTGGCCAAGTCATTTTATTACCTCTGAGCCTTAGTTTTATTATTTGTGAAATTTATGTGTTTTCTAATCACACCTACTATTCTGGGGATCCTCTAATGTGCCTTAGGAGTGGATGCTGCAGAGATGGCAGGGACAGCTGGTGGGGCCAGCTCCTTTCCCCACTTTTACCCAAGCAGCTCTGTTTTCATCCATAGATATATTGGGCTTTCACATAAGATTTCATTTTAAAAATAATTCCGCAGCTAAAAGTTTTAAACTACTGGATTTCTAAGGTCTAATAACCTATGATTCAATGAATCTATAACCTCTACTCCAATAGAAGAATCAAACCAGGTAAATCTTCTGAAGAAAAAATATCAATAAACATAGATGTACATGTGTTTCTATAGTAGAATGGTTTATAATCCTTTGGGCATATACCCAGTAATGGGACTGCTGGGTCAAATGGTAGTTCTGGTTCTAGATCCTTGCGGAATTGCCACACTCTCTTCCACAAGGGTTGAACAAATTTACACTCCCACCGACAGTGTAAAAGCATTCCTATTTCTCCACAGCCTCGCCAGCATCTATTATTTCCTGACTTTTTAATAATCGCCATTTTGACTGGCGTGAGATGGTATCTCATGGTGGTTTTGATTTGCATTTCTCTAATGATCAGTGATGATGAGCTTTTTTTCACATATTCATTGGCCACATAAACGTCTTCTTTTGAGAAGTGTCTGTACATATCCTTTGCCCACTTTTTGATGGGGTTGTTTTTTTTCTTGTAAATTTGCACTATTTACAATAGCAAAGACTTGGAACCAACCCAAATGCCCATCAATGATAGACTGGATAAAGAAAATGTGGCACATATACATCATGGAATACTATGCAGCCATAAAAAGAATGAGATCATGTTCTTTGCAGGGACATGGATGAAGCTAGAAGCCATCATTCTCAGCAAACTAACACAGGAACAGAAAACCAAATGCCACATGTTCTCACTCATAAGTGGGAGTTGAACAAGGAGAACACATGGACACGGAGGGGAACAACACACACCAGGGCCTGTCAGGGGTTGGAGGCCAAAAGCAGGGAGAGTAATAAGACACATACCTAATGCATGCGGTGCTTAAAACCTAGGTGATGGGTTGATAGGTGCAGCAAACCACCATGGCACATGTATACCTATGTAACAAACCTGCACATTCTGCACATGTATCCAGGAACTTAAAGTAAAAAAAGAAAATCAACTTGCAAATTAAAAAAGCATCCCATATTCTATGGAAAAACTTAATATTTTAAACAATGACAATCTGCTTTTTCTCCATATACTATTATTAGGTGACTTTTAATCAGTTTGTATACCCAATATGGATATTTTTCACTGAATAAGCTGAAGCTGCAGTGATACTTCCTCAGCAACATCTTTAGCTCTTCATCAATTGGGCTCATATTTTTACCTCTTGTTTTACTCTTTTCTAAAGAGGCCATATGTATATGCTGTTTTGATTTTTTTTAAATTTTTATTTACTTGTTTTTGAGATGGAGTCTTGCTCTGTCACCCAGGCTGGAGAGCAGTGGCATAATCTCGGCTCACTGCAATCTCCACCTCCCGAGTTCAAGCGATTCTCCTGCCTCAGCCTCCCGAGTAGCTGGGACTACAGGCACCTGCCACCACACCTGGCTAATTTTTGTATTTTTAGTAGAGATGGGGTTTCACCATGTTGGCTAGGCTGGTCTCGAACTCCTGACCTCAAGCGATCCACCAGCCTCAGCCTCCCAAAGTGCTGGGATTACAGGTGTGAGCCACCGTGCCTGGCCTGTACTTGCTATTTTGTAATGGACCAGTCTCTTTTCTCTGTCTGGTTTATGAGCCAGAAAATGTAGATACGAACACTGATGATTGACATTGGGTAGTATCCATACTGGTGCTGAGAAAGAGCTTGAAGGAGAAAGTTTCTATTTGACTAAGACATTACAGGTGAGCCGTTTAATTTCTTGGAGAGCCTCCATTAAATCTCAGGGAAAACTGAAGTACATTCACCTTTAAAAAGCCTACTTCACTAGTATCTTATACTCTGAATGAAGCAGGGATATTCACAAAGTCATTGTATTTTATTCATCTCTGAATTCACACACAAATATTTAAAGATGTACTTAAATTTCCTACTTCTGCGTACGATTCCTTTAAATAAAGTAACACATAGTAACTCTTTTACAGAAAGGACTGATTAAAGAGTTTTCTTTTCAGTGTAACTGTTAAATCAGCAGCTTATCCAATGATCTGATGCAGAATGTAACAAGTTCCTGATAGAGTTGTGTTCCCTTCAAGAACAAGTGTTTTTTCATCACCCTCTTAGTCACCTAATTTGACTGAAATCTAAGATCTTAGTGCATCAGTCTTGTTAATTCTCTTGCCAGTATGTAGGAAATTGAAGCAATAAACCACAACTTGTTTGTAGTGGTGTTAACATTATTAAGTACTCAGCTAGCTGACAAGAGCCCCATTTTTCCATTAAACTTCAATAGCAGCTTCATGCATATTTAGCTCTTTGCCACTTTTCTTATTTTCCCCCTGATGACTTGTTTGAAAAGTTGACCTCAAATTCACTACACTCCACTTCACTTTTTGCATAATCAAAGTTGTGACATATTGGCTTAGTAAACTGCTATTGTATTTTACTACTATTTTTTTAAACACCATTCAACTCCTGTTCTCTGCAAGGATATACATATCATTATTTTTTCAGTATACTAGTTAATGAAACAGGACCTTGAAATTGCAGTACTGAATTTAAAAAGATAGTATTTCAATAGTTAGGTATTTCAAAAATTCTGTATGATTTATTATTATTATTATTGAGCTGCTGTTGAAGTCACTTACACTTTCATTTGATTGATTCATTTGCTCCATGCTGTGGTTTGAATGTGTTCCCCAGAATTCATGTGTTGGAAACTTAATTCTCAATGCAACAAATGTTGGGAGGTAAGGCTTAATGGGAGGTGTTTAGGTCATTAGGGCTCCACCTTCATGAATGGATTGATGCTGACATAAAAGGTACTCGTAGGAATGGGTTCATTTCTTGTGCTTTTGCCCTTCTGCCTTCAGCCATGTGATAATGCAGCAAGAAGGCTCTTGCCAAGGTCCTTTAAGAAGGATCTTGACTTTGGAATTCCCAGCCTCCAGAACTGTGTGCCAGTAAATTTCTATTCATTATAAATTACCTAGTCTCGGGTATTCTGTTATAACAGCACAAAACAGACTAAGACACTCCACATTCAAACAGCTTCCATCTTAAAAGGCATAGTGGACTTCCTGTCTATTGATGTGTGTGGAAAATAGTATAGCCTTGGCATAAGACCATTACTATAACTGATGGCTTGAACATAACCACTATGTAGTATAACAACAGACAAAACTAGTTGTCTACAATCTCTTAGACACTTAGTCTACTGGAAATTAGTTGACAATTTTTGGACTAGTGTATTTGTAGTTTTAAAGCCCATACGCATAATTTTTCTCCCCAAATTAGTTTCTCTGCTAGACTACCCTCTTTCTGCCAACAGCTCTTTGCTATTATCCTCTTAAAACCTTAGAATAACCCTTGTTTCCAACATTTGCCTTGCTCATTAACCTATCCAGTCATTAAGAGCTACCCACGTCTTCCTCGCAAGCATCTCCTCATTCTGTTTCCAATATTCTCTCTATAGCCCAGACATTCATTACTTTACTCAAGAACAGCCAGACTTTTTTTTTCATTTGACTCTAGTCTGCCACCCAATACTTGCTATTAACCACAGCCAGTTATCTTTTTTTTTTTTTTTTTTTTTTTTTGAGACGGAGTCTCGCTCTGTTGCCCAGGCTGGAGTGCAGTGGTGCAATCTCAGCTCACTGCAAGCTCTGCCTCCCAGGTTCACTCCATTCTCCTGCCTCAGTCTCACTAATAGCTGGGACTACAGGCACCTGCCACTACACCCAGCTAATTTTTTTGTATTTTCAGTAGAGACGGAGTTTCACTGTGTTAGCTAGGATGGTCTCGATCTCCTGACCTTGTGATCCACCCACCTCGGCCCTCCAAAGTGCTGGGATTACAGGCATGAGCCACTATGCCCGGCCAGCCAGAGTTATCTTTCTAAGGCAGCACTTTGTATATAGGCTGTTGGTCAATATACATTTATTGAGTACATGCTGTAGGATAAAAACTGAGCTAGGCTCTGGATTGACAGTGCCAAACATGGGACACACAGTTCCTGGATTCTTTGAGCTTATATTATAGCAGAGAAGTTAGACATTTTCATTCATCCCTTCTTAACATCCTTCAATGCCCTTTTTTACTCATTAGTACACTGAATAAATTGTAAAACCTCTTACTGTAGCATTCAGGGATCTTTACAACATGGCTCTAAACTACCTCTTCAACTTTATTTCCTACTCCTGTCCTACAAGAATTCTGTCTTCTTGTTATTCCCTAAATATGTAAATATTCCTTCTCACCAATTTGATCTTAAGCCCACTGAGGTCATATACCTCTTGAATACTCAGAATTCAGCATGAAACCCTCCTTGTGACAGAAACTGAGCCAATGTATATCATTGATAAACATGCCTTTTACATTCTAATCCATCACTCTAAGTAAGATATCTCTACTATGTGCTCTACTGGCACCATGTAGCCATTTCTGTCCTTGTACTTATTGTACAATTTTATAATTACCTATAGACTCCACTGGAGTATTACTAGCTCATGGAAAACAAAGCCTCTTCTACTCTTTTTGTTATTATTTATCCAGAAGTAGTACAATACTTGATACACAACAGATTCTCAATAAAATAGTGAATGAGTGAAAGAATGAATGAGTATTGAAACAACTTTCTCACAGTAAAGTTTATGTTCTTGGAAATTATGGACAATCGGCCAAGTAACTAAAGATATCCATTTACATGAAAATAAGAATGGTTTCATTGGGTACTTGCTCAGTACTAAGATATCATTTGACTAGTAAATGGTAACTTTGAGAAGGGACAGAGCAAGATGATGGAGTAGTACTCTCTAGTAATTGCCCCCCTGCAGAAACATCAATTTAAGCAACTATTCAAACAACAACAACAAAAATACCTTCACAAGAGTTAAGGAAAACAGATGAGATATCAGAGTACCTGGTTTTAGCACAATAATAAGAAAAGACACATTGAAGAGGACAGGGAGGACAGTTTTACCTTAGCCAGGTCACCCTCTGCCAACACCAGGCAGCAAAATATAAAGAAAGATACCCTTTACATGGGGGAAAGAGATGTCAGTGAGTGCAGGACTTTTTCTGGGATCCCAACACTGGGACTGCTGCAGTAGAACCTAGCCCTGGGCATATCCTCATGGCCCTATATACCAGGCCAGTACCCACAAACTGAGCCTCTAGACCTGTCCCAGTGCCAGACAGTGCCACACAGCTCCTCTAGACATCAGCCTTGCATGGCAAACCCAATCTCTAGCCTGTACCACGTCCAGGCCATCATCAACAGCCCACAGCTTCAGGCAGCCCCCACAGTAGGCAGGCCTCACTGGCCCCTGGCTTCATTTGTGTCCCAGTCTAATGCTGGCTGCATCTTCCTTGGGCTTCTGGTCCAACCCAGTGCTGTGCCTTCCACAGGGTACCCCAAGTTTCTGGCAGTGCCATGTTGGTTGCAGCTGCCCCAGGCTTCTGATGCACCTAAGTGACATATTTGCAACTGGGCTTTCTCAGGCAAAGCCAGTCTGTGAAGACTGGAATAAGTACCTTCTTCTTCCAATGCACAGACATCAATGCACAACCACAAGGAGCAAGGAAACATGACATCACAATGGGATCAAATAAGGTGCTAGTGACTGACTCTAATGAAATTGAGATGTATGAAGTGCTGAAAAAGTGTTGAAAACAACAGTTTTAAGGAAGCTCATCAAACTTCAAGAAAATAAAGAGAAACAATTCAACAAAAAAGAAAAGCAATAAGTGACCAGAACAAAAGATTTAATAGACTGAAACAATGAAAAACATCAAACAGAAATCCTGGTAATGAAAAACACAATGAACAAAATACAAAATGCTATTGAGAGCATCAACTGCAAAACTGACCAAGCAGAAGAATGAATTTGTGAACTCAGAGACAGGTTATTTGAAACTATATAGTCAGAGAAAAAAGTGGAAAGGAATAAAGAAAGGGTAAAAGATTTATGGGAGAACATCAAAAGAACAAATATTTGAGTCATAGGTGTCATAAAAAGAGAAGAGAAAAATCAAGGGGTAGAAAGCTTATTTGAAGTAATAATAGAAAAAATACTTTCCAAACATGAATAAAAATATAAACATTGAGGTAAACAAAAGTCAAAGGTCTCCAATAAGATTCAATCTAAATAAGATTCTCATGACATTATAACTAAAATGTCAAAAATCAAAGACAAAGGAAGGATCCTAAAAGCAGCAAGAGAAAAGAAGCCAATGACATAAGGGATATCCAATATATCTAACAGTAGACTTCTCAACAGAAACCTTAAAGGCCATTAAAGAGTGGGATGATATACTGAAAGTGCTGAAGGGGAGAAAAACTTGCCAATCAAGAATACCACAGCCAGCAAAGCTGTTCTTAAGAAATGAAAGAGAGATAAATATTTTCCTAAATGAAAAAAAGCTAAAGGAGTTCACTACCACCAGATCTGTCTTACAAAAAAATGCTAAAGGAAGTTCTTCAAGCTACAAGAAAAATAACACTAATGAATAAGAAAACATCTAAAAGTATAAAACTCACTGGTAAAAGTAAGCACACATTCAATTCAGAATATTCTAATACTGTAATAGTGGTGTTTAAATCATTGATATTTGTAGTATGAAGATTAAAAGACTAAGCTATTAAACATAACAATAATAGCTACAATAATTTGTTATGATATATGAAATATAAAAAGATATAAATTGTGACATCAAAAATCCAAAATGTGGAAAGGGAGTGCACTAAAAGTATAAAGGTGGGTTTTCTTTTTGCAGTCAGTGTTAAATTGTCACAAGCTTAAAATAATCAGTTATAACAATAAGATGTTTTCTATAAGCCTCATGGTAATGACAAAGCAAAAAACTATAGTAGATACACAAGGAATCAAAACACACTATAAGAGAATATCATTTAGCCACAAAGGAATACAGCAAGAGAGGAAGAAAGAAACAAAGAATCTATAAAACAACTAGAAAACAATTAACAAAATAGTAGTTGTAATTCCTTACCTGTCAATAATTACTTTGAATATAAATGGATGAAATTCTCCAATCAAAAGCCACAGAGGGGTTAAATACATTTTTTAAAACATGACCCAGCTATATGTTGCTTACAAGAAACTCATTTCACCTATATGGACACACATACACAAAACAGTATACAAATAAATAAAATAGGCATAGTAAAGGGATAAGAAAAGATATTACAACATTGGATGCATAGATATTTACAATTATAAGAGTAGTTCTACTTAAACAGGCTGAGTATTCCTTAACCAAAATGCTTGGGACCAGTTTTGGAGTATTCACATTATGCTTATTGGTTGTGCATCTTAAATCTGAAAAATTCAGCTCCCAGCGAGATCAACACAGAAGGTGGGTGATTTCTGCATTTCCAACTGAGGTACCCAGCTCATCTCACTGGGACTGGTTAGACAGTGGGTGCAGCCCACAGAAGGCGAGCCAAAGCAGGGTGAGGCATCGCCTCACCCAGGAAACACAAGGGGTTGGGGAGCTCCCTCCCCTAGCCAAGGGAAGCCGTGAGGGACTGTGCCATGAGAAGCAGTGCATTCCAGCCAGGATACTACACCCTTCCCATGGTCTTCGCAACCTGCAGACCAGGAGATTCATTTGGTTGCATACACCACCAGGGCCCAGGGTTTTGAGCACAAAACTGGGCAGCCCTTTGGGCAGACACCAAGCTAGCTGCAGGAGTTTTTTTTTTTTTTTTTCCATACCCCAGTGGTGCCTGGAATGCCAGCGAGACAGAACCATTCACTCCCCTGGAAAGGGGGCTGAAGCCACGGAGCCAAGTGCTCTAGTTCAGTGGATCCCATCCCCATGGAGCCCGAAAACATAAGGTCCACTAGCTTGAAATTCTCACTGCCAGCAAAGCAGTCTGAAGTGGACCTCGGATGCTTGAGTTTGGTGGGGAGGAGGGGTGTCTACAATTGCTGAGGCTTGATTAGGTGGGTTTTCCCCTCACAGTGTAAACAAAGCCACCAGGAAGTTCAAACTGGGTGGAGCCCACTACAGCTTTGCCACTGTAGCCAGATTGCCTCTCTAGATTCCTCCTCTCTGGGCAGGGCATCTCTGAAAGAAAGGCAGTAGCCCCAATCAGGGTCTTATAGATAAAACGCCCATCTCCCTGGGAAACAGCAACTGGGAGAAGGGGCAGCTGTGGGTACAGCTTCAGCAGACTTAAATGTTCCTGCCTGCCGTCACTGAAGAGAGCAGCAGATCTCAAAGCACAGTACTCGAGCTCTGCAAAGGGAAATACTGCCTCCTCAAGTGGATCCCTGACCCTTGTGCCTCCTGACTGGGAGACACCTTCCAATAGGGGTCATCAGACACCTCATACAGGAGAGCTCTGGCTGGCATCTGGCAGGTGCCCCTCTGGGATGAAGCTTCCAGAGGAAGGAACAGAAAGCAATCTTTGCTGTTCTGCAGCCTTTGCTGGTGATACCTAGGAAAACAAGGTCTGGAGTGGACCTCCAGCAAACTCCAGCAGACCTGTGGCAGAGAGGCCTGACTGTTAGAAGGAAAACTAACAAACAGAAAGCAATAGCATCAACATCAACAAAAAGGACATCCACACAAAAACTCCCTCTGAAGGGTGCCGACATCAAAGACCAAAGGTAGATAAATCCACAAAAATGAGGAAAAACCAGTGCAAAAAGGCTGAAAATCCTTCAAAAAAATCAATGAATCCAGGAGCTGGTTTTTTGAAAAGATTAACAAAATAGATAGACCAGTAGCCAGACTAATAAAGAAGAAAAGAGAGAAGAATCAAATAGATACAATAAAAAATGATAAAGTGTATACCACCACTGATCCCACAGAAATACAAACTACCATCAGAGAATAATATAAACACCTCTACACAAATAAACTAGAAAATCTAGAAGAAATGGATAAATTCCTGGACACATACATCCTCTCAAGATTGAACCAATAAGAAGTCGAATCCCTGAATAGACCAATAACAACTTCTGAAATTGAGGCAGTAATTAATACCCTAACAACCAAAAAAAGCCCAGGATCAGAGAGATTCACAGCCAAATTCCACCAGAGGTACAAAGAGGACTTAGTATCATTCTTTATGAAACTATTCCAAACAATAGAAAAAGAGGGATTCCTCCCTAACTCATGAGTCCAGCATCATCCTGATACCACAACCTTGCTGAGACACACCAAAAAAGGAAGTTTCAGGCCAATATCCCTGATGAACATCAATGCAAAAATCCTCAATAAAATACTGGCAAACCTAGTTCAGCAGCACATCAAAAAGCTTATCCACCATGATCAAGTCGGCTTCATCCCTGGGATGCAAGGCTGGTTCAACACATGCAAATCAATAAATGTAATCCCTATTTAATAAATGGTGTTGAGAAATCTGGCTAGCTATATGGAGAAAACTGAAACTGGACCCCTTCCTTACACCTTATACAAAAATTAACTCAAGATGGATTAACTACTTAAACCTAAGACCCAAAACAATAAAAACTCTAGAAGAAAACCTAGGCAATACCATTCAGGACATAGGCATGGTCAAAGACTTCATGGCTAAAACATCAAAAGCAATGGCAACAAAAGCCAAAATTGACAAATGGGATTTAAATAATCTAAAGAGTTTCTGCACAGCAAAAGAAACTGTCATCAGAGTGAACAGTCAACCTACAGAATGGATGAAAGTTTTTGAAATCTATCCATCTGACAAAGGGCTAATATCCAGAATCTACAAGAAACTTAAACAAATTTATAAGAAAAAAAACAAACAACCCCATCAAAAAGTGGCTGAAGGATATGAACAGATGCTTCTCAAAAGAAGACATTTTTGCAGCCAGCAAACATATGAAAAAAAGCTAAGCATCACCTCATTTGAGAAATGCAAATCAAAACCACGATGAGATACCATTTCACGCCTGTTAGAATGGCGATCATTAAAAAGTCAGGAAACAGATGCTGGAGAGGATGTGGAGAAATAGGAGGCGCTTTTACGCTGTGTGTGGGAGTGTACATTAGTTCAACCATTGTGGAAGACTGTGGCAATTCCTCAAGGATCTAGAACCAGAAATACCATTTGACCCAGCAATCCCATTACTGGGTATATACCCAAAGCATTATAAATCATTCTACTGTAAAGAAACATGCACATGTATGTTTATTGCAGCACTATTCACAATAGCAAAGACTTAGAACCAACACAAATGCCCATCAATAATAAACTGGATAAAGTAAATGTGGCACATATATACCATGGAATACTATGCAGCCATAAAAAGGATGAGTTCATGTCCTTTGTGGGGACATGGATGAAGCTGGAAACCATTATTCTCAGCAAGCTAACAAAAGAAGAGAAAAACTAAATACCACATGTTCTCACTCATAAATAGGAGTTGAACAATGAAAACACATGGACACAGGGAGGGGAACATCACAGACTGGGGCCTGTTGAGGGGTGGGGGCCTAGGGGAGGGATAGCATTAGGAGAAATACTTAATGTAGATAATGCGTTGATGGGTGCAGCAAACCACCATGGCACATATATGCTTATGTAGATGTTGCAGGAAGTCAGGGACCCCGAATGGAGGGACTGGCTGAAGCCATGGCAGAAGAACATAAATTGTGAAGATTTCATGGACATTTATTCGTTCCCCAAATTAATACTTTTATAATTTCTTACACCTGTCTTTACTGCAATCTCTGAACATAAATTGTGAAGATTTCATGGACACTTATCACTCCCCCAATCAATACCCTTGTGATTTCCTATGCCTGTCTTTACTTTAATCTCTTAATCCCATCATCTTCGTAAACTGAGGAGGATGTATGTCACCTCAGGACCCTGTGATGATTGCATTAACTGCACAAATTGTTTGTAGAGCATGTGTGTTTGAACAATATGAAATCTGGGCACCTTGAAAAAAGAACAGGATAACAGCAATGTTCAGGGAAAAAGAGAGATAACCTTAAACTCTGACAGCTGATGAGCCGGGCGGAACAGAGCCATATTTCTCTTCTTTCAAAAGCAAATGGGAGAAATATCGCTGAATTCTTTTTCTCAGCAAGGAACATCCCTGAGAAAGAGAATGCGTCCCTGAGGGTAGGCCTCTGAAATGGCCACTTCAGGGGTGGCTGTCTTTTACGGTTGCAGCTGTAGGGATGAAATAAGCCCCTGTCTCCCGTAGCACTCCCAGGCTTATTAGGACTAGGAAATTCCTGCCTAACAAATTTTGGTCAGACTGGTTGTCTGCTCTCAAACACTGTCTCCTGATAAGATGTTATCAATGACAATGCGTGCCCGAAACTTCATTAGCAATTTTAATTTCTCCCCGGTCCTGTGGTCCTGTGATCTCGCCCTGCCTCCATTTGCCTTGTGATATTCTATTACCTTGTGAAGCATGTGATCTCTGTCATCCACACCCTATTCATACACTCCCTCCCCTTTTGAAAATCACTAATAAAAACTTGCTGGTTTTACAGCTCGGGGGGCATCATGGAACCTGCCGACTTGTGATGTCTCCCCTGGATACCCGGCTTTAAAATTTCTCTCTTTTGTACTCTGTCCCTTTATTTCTCAGACCAGCCAACACTTAGGGAAAATAGAAAAGAACGTATGATATTTCATACATGAAATATCAGGGCTGAATTTCTCCTGATATGTAACAAACCTGTACATTCTGCACATGTATCCCAGAACTTAAAGTATAATGAAAAAAAAGAGAGAGAGAAAAAAAGAAAAAGGAGACATTACATCTGATAACACGAAAATGCAAAGGATCATAAGAGATTATTTCGAAGGCTTATACACCAGTGCATGAGATAACCCAGTAGACTTGGATAAATTCCTTGATGCATACAACCTACAAAGACTTAATTGTGAAGAAATAAAACATCCTAACATACCAATGAGTAAAGCAATTGAATCAATAATACAAAGTCTCTCATCAAAGTGAAGCCCAGGAAATGATGGCTTCACTGCTGAATCCTTCCAAATTTTTTTTAAATACCGATTTTTCCCAAATCATCTAAAAGCATCAAATAGGAGGGAATGCTTCCAAAATCATTTTACAAGGCCAGCATCACCCTGATACCAAAGTCAAATGAAGACATTGAAAAAAAAAAAAAAAAAACTACAGGCCAAAACCCCTAAGAAACATAGATGCAAAAATATTCTGCAAAATACTATTATAGCAAACTGACTTCAATAGCACATTTAAAAGATCATTCACCGTAATTGAGTGGGATTCATACCAGGGATGCAAAATGGTTCAACATATGCAAATAAATAAATGTGACACATCACACTAACTGAATGAAGGAAAAAACATTTCAGTAGATGCAGAAAAAGTACTTGAAAAAATTCAACATCCTTTTATAGTAAAAACTCTTAACAAATTAGATATAAAAGCAGTATATCTCAATATCATAAAGGTCACATATTATATGCTAACATCACACTCATACAGGAAAATTTGAAAGCTTTTCCCCAGAGATTCAAAATAAGAAACTGTATTAGTCCATTCTCATGCTGCTATGAATGCCCAAGATTGGGTAATTTATAAAGAAAGAAGGTTTAATTGATTCACAGATTCACATGGCTGGGAAGCCTCAGGAAACTTAAAATCATGGCAGAAGGGGAAGCAAACACATCCTTCTTCATATAGTGGCAGGAGAGAGACATGCTAGCAGTGGAAATGCCAGACACTTATAAAACTAACAGATTTCATGAGAACTCACTCACTATCATGAGAATATTATGGGGGAAACTGGCTCTATGATTCAATTACCTCCTGCCAGGTTCTACATGTGGGGATTGTGGGGATTACAATTCAGATGAGATTTGGGTGGGGACACAGCCAAACCACATCATTGTGCCCCTGGCCCCTACCAAATCTCATGCTCTCATATTTTAAAACACAATCATGCCTTTCTAACAGTCCCCCAAAGTCTTACCTCATTCCGGCATTAACTCAAAAGTCCAAGTCCAAAGTCTCATCTGAGACAAGGCAAGTCCCTTACACCTGTGAGCCTGTAAAATAAAAAGCAGGTTAGTTACTTCCTAGATACAATGGGGGTACAGGCATTCAGTAAATACACCCATTACAAATGGGAAAAATTGGTGAAAACAAATGGGCTACAGGCCCCATGCAAGTCCAAAATCCAATAGGGCAGTCATTAAACTTTAAAGTTCCAAAATGATCTCCTTTGACTCCATGTCTCACATCCAGATCACCCTGATACAAGAGGTGGGCTCCCATGGCCTTGGGCAGCTCTGCCCCTGTGGCTTTGCAGGGTACAGCCCCCCTCCCAGCTGCTTTCATGGGCTTGCATTGAGTATCTGCTGCTTTTCCAGGTGCATGGTATAAGCTGTCAGAGGATCTACCATTCTGGGGTCTGGAGGACAGTGGCCCTCTTCTCACAGTTCCACTAGGCAGTGCTTCAGTGGGGACTCTGTGTGGTGGCTTCAACCCCACATTTCCCTTCTGCACTGCCCTACCAGAGGTTCTCCATGAGGGCTCTACCCCTGTAGCAACCTACTGCCTGGACATCCAGGCATTTACATACAACCTTTGAAATCTAGGTGGAGGTTACCAAACCTCAATTCTTTACCTCTGTGTACCCAAAAGCTCAACATCACATGGAAGCCACCATGGCTTGGGGCTTGCACCCTCTGAGGCAATGGATAAAGCTGTACCTTGCCCCCTTTTATCCGCCACTGGAGCTAAAGCAGCTGGGATGCAAGGCACCATGTCCTGAGGCTGCACAGGGCAGAGGAGCCCTGGGCCTGGCCAGGAAACCATTTTTCTCTCCTAGGCCTCTGGGCTTTTGATAAAAGGGACTGCTGTAAAGGTCTCTGATGTGCCCTGGAGACATTTTCCCCATTGTCTTGTTGATTAACATTCAGCTCCTCATTATGTATGCAAATTTCTGCCACCAGCTTGAATTTCTCCTCAGAAAATGGGTTTTTCTTTTCTATTGCATTGTTGGGCTGCAAATTTTCCAAACTTTTATGCTCTGCTTCCTTTTGAACACTTCACTGCTTAGAAACTTCTTCTGCCAGATACCCTAAATCATCTCTTTCAAGTTTAAAGTTCCACAGATCTCTAGGGCAGGGGCAAAATGCCTCCAGTCTCTTAAAGAATAGAAAGAGTGACCTTTACTCCAGTTCCCAACAAGTTCCTCATCTCCATCTGAGACCACCTCAGCCTGGATTTCATTGTCCATATCACTATCAGCATTTTGGTCAAAACCATTCAACAAGTCTGTAGGAAGTTCCAAACTTTCCCACATTTTCCGGTCTTCTTTTGAGCCCTCCAAAGTGTTCCAAACTCTGCCTGTTACCCAGTTCCAAAGTCACTTCCACATTTTTTGATATCCTTATAGCAGCACCCCACTACCTTGATACCAATTTACTGTATTAATTCATTCGCATGCTGGGATGAAGAAATACCTGAAATTGGGTAATTTATAAATAAAAGAGGTTTAATTGACTCACAGTTCCACGTGTCTGGGGAGGCTTCAGGAAACTTACAATCATGGTGGAAGGGGAAGAAAACATGTCCTTATTCACATGGTGGCAAGAGAGAGAAGTGCCAGCAGGGGAAATGCCAGACACGTATAAAACCATCAGATCTCATGAGAACTCACTCACTATCATGAGAACAGCATGGGGGAAACTGGCCCCATGATTCAATTACCTCCCACCAGGTTCCTCCCAGGACACTTGAAGATTATAATTCAAGATGAGATTTGGGTGGGGACACAGCCAAACCATATCAGAAAAGGAAGCCCACTCTTGCCGTTTTTATTCAATATAGTAACAGAGGTCTGAGGCCAGAGCAATAAAACAAGAAAAAGAAATATAAGGCATTCAAATTAGGAAGAATTTAAATTATCCCTGTTTCCAGATGACATGACCTTATATATAGAAAACCCTAAAGACTCTACCAAAATACTGTTATAACTAATAAACAAATTCAGTAAAGTTACAGAATACAAAATAACATACAAAAATCAGTAGCATTTATATACACTATCAGCAAACAATATGAAAAAGAAATCAGGAAAACAATCTCATTTCCAAAACTCCACAAATACTTAGGAATAAATTTAACCAAGGAGGTAAGACATCTGTACACTGAAAGCAATGACATATTGATGAAAGAAAAAGACACAAATAAATGCAGAGCTATCACCTGTACACAAATTGGAAGAAATAATATTTTAAAAACATTTGTACTACCCAAAGTTATCCACAGTTTCAACACTACTTCTATCAACATAACAATGATATTCTTCACAGAAATACAAAGAACTATCCTTAAAGTCATAGGGAGCCACAAAGGTCCTGATTAGCCATAGGAATCTTCACTGTAAAGAGCAAAACTTAAGGCATCACACTACCTGACTTCAAAATATATGACAAACCTATTGTAACCAAAACAGAAAAGGAGTGGCATAAAAACAGACACATGTAACAGAATAGACAACTCAGAAATAAATTCACACATTTATAGCCAATTAATTTTCCACAAAGGTATCAAGAACATAAAATAAGGAAAGGGCAGTCTCATAAATGGTGTTGGGAAAACTGGATATTCACATGCAGAAGAATGAAATTAGGCCCTATCTCACACCATATATAAACATCAACTTAACCTGCATGAAAGACTTGCATGAAAGACTTAAATGAAAGACCCAAAACTATGAAACTACTGGAAGAAACCATAGGAAAAATGCTCCATGACATTGTTCTGGCTGATAATTTTTGGATATGACCACAAAAGCACAGGCAACAAAACCAAAAATAGACAAATGGCATTGCATCGAATTAAAAAGCTTTGCACAGCAAAGGAAAAAATCAGCAGAGTAAAAAGACAATCTATAGAATGGGAGAAAATATTTGCAAATTATGTATGTGATGAGAGGTTAACATACAAAATATATGAGGAACTCAACTCCATAGCAAAAGAAAAAAAATAGTAATCTAATTTAGAAATGGGCAAAAGACCTGAGTAGATATTTCTTAAAGGGAGACATAGAACTGGCCAACAGTTATTTGAAAAAATGCTCAGCATTGTTAATGATGAGGAAAATGAAAATTAAAACCACAATGAGATATCCCCTCACACCTGTTAGAATGGCTATAATCAAAAAGACAAAAGATAACAAGTGTTGGAAAGGATGTGGAGAAAAGGACACACATGCATACTCTTGGGGGAAATCTAAATTAGTCGAGCCATTATGGAAAATGGTATGGAGATTCCTCAAAAAATTAAAAATAAAACTATCATATGATCTAGCAATCCTACTATTGGGTATATATCCAAAGGAAATGAAATTGGTATGTCAAAGGGATACCTACACTCCCATATTCATTGCAGCATTATTCACAATAGCCAAGATATAGAATCAACCTAAGTGTCTGCCAATTAATGACTGTATAAAGAAAATGTGGTATATACACAAACAAATACTATTCAGTCATAAAAAAGAAGGAATCGTGTAACTTGCAACAACACGGATGAACCTAGAGGACATTACCTAAGTGAAATAAGCCAGACACAGAAAAACAAATACCACACGATCCCCCTCATATGTGGAAGCTAAAAAAGTTGACCTCATAGAAATATAGTAGAATGGTAATTACCAGAGGCTGAGGTGGCTATAGTGTGGCTGGGGAAATGTTGGTCAAAGGATATAAAACTTCAATTCAATAAGAGGAATAAGTTCAAGAGATCTATTGTACAACATGGTAAATATAGTTAATAATGTATTCTTGAAAAATACGGAGAGCGGATGCAAAATGTTTTCAGCACAAAAATGATAACTATGTGAGGTAGTGCATATCTTAATTCGCTAGATTTAGTCATTCTTCAATGTAGGTATACTCCAAAGCATCATGTTGCCATGTCAAATATGTACAGTTGTATCTATTAATTTAAAAAAATTAAAAAGAAAAGTTTGCATTTTGTTTGAAAATATGCATTATTTATATATGCATTTCATATTTACAGTCACGTCTGTAACTGCATACGTACACATTTATATTTGAAAGGACTTATTAATAGTCCTACTAATTGCTGCTCCAACTAATAGTCCTTCAGAATAGAACATGGGATCTATTCTTTTAAAAGAAAGGAATATGAACAAAAACCATAAGCTTTACAGAGTTCCAAAGGGAGTTCCAAGGTTGGAGCTAGATGCTATTACCAGCCACTATATATCATTCAAATACAGCTTTTAAGGAGGAAACCATAACCCATAGGGATAAAGTAGAAGGAATTTGCAATTCGTCATCTGTATTTTGGAGTCTGGAAATCCAGTCTGTCCAACCCCATTAAATGCTCCCTCTATCATAAACATGCAGGCATTTCAGATAGTTAGAAACATGTACAACATCTGATTTTTAAATAGATAGTTGAACTACATATTCTTTGAGCCTTGCATAACTGTATTTCCTAAGTATTTAGCAGTTTCTGAGAGTTATCAGGCAAAAGATTTTCTTCCTTTTCTAAGAGCCTGGACATTATCTTAAGAATTTCAAAAAATGAATAAAACAGCACCTACGTGTCTAACTACTTCTTTCCTAGGTGGCATAATTTAGTTCCATCAATTTCTCCCTAGAAATCGAACCATTATCACCTATATCATTTTTCCCTTCTATGAACTTCTTTTCAAAACACGTGAACTGATTCTATATTGCCCGAGTTTTTATAGAGTATGTATTACTTTTGTGATCAGAAAAAAAGTTATCTTCATTTTGAAGGAAATAAAATTAATGACCAAAATTTAATGTAGTGTTTTAATTGAGCTATTAGCAGATGTATATAAGGTGCTACATTTACTAAGAGACATGGTAAAGAGACATGGAAAGATCAAGAAAACATCAAGAACATGGAGAGTAAAAATGAGTTTTAGTTATGCATTTTTTAATTTAAAAATAAGAATCAACATAAAGTACAATAATTTATAGAAAAGGACTGTGAACATAGTTACAAAATATGGGAGACCTATCCAGGTTATGGCTAATGCAGTTGCAGTAAATGCATGTTGGTGCTTTTAAAGATATGCTAATAAAATTCACAGAATTCAGCATTTATGTTGGGTTTAAATGCATACATCTGTCCTCCAGGAAGGCAATGAGATGAGTGAGGTCACCAGAAAACCTCCCAAATTGCCTTTAATACAGGTATGAGACAATCAGAAAAAAAATGAGGTTTTTCTGCAATAAAAGTGAAAATAAAGGAGCAAACACATTCCATGATCATTTAGGAATGTATACAATCTTCCATCCCAGATTCCCATGATGCAACCAAACAGAAAAATGCAATAATCAAGATGAAAGAATAAATCAAAAGGAGTAAGTAGACTTGACACAACAGAAAGCTGAATCATTGAAACAGAGAATTATATCGAAAAACATCTCGAAAATGCTTGGTAGGGATTAGAGAACAAAATACCCATTGTGGAAGATAGGTGACATATTCTACCTACCAGTACCAGTTGCTTCTGAGGAAATAAATGGAGCAAATGGATTAGAAACAACAATCAAAGTTATAATCGAAGAAAATTTTCAGTTCAGAAAAATTATCTGAAATTGGATTTGGAGAGGATTGCCATTTTCCACATTTCAGACAAAATTGAACTAAGATCGATATATAATCCAGATATATCCTGATAAATTATTATTAAAAAGATTCCTGCCAGCACTCAAGCAGCAAACAAAGACTCAAATCAAGTTATCTATTATTTGTCCATTTCAACAACAAAAAAAAACACCAAAAAACAAAGGAGCAGTGTCTACAAGGTTTTGAGGGACAATGACAGTGGCCTAAGGATTTAGACCCAGCAAAGCTGTCTTTCACATGTAAAAGCAACAGAAGAGTAGCCTGAGATCTGCAAGGTCTCAGATAATGCCCATCACAGAGGTAGCCTAGATTGCTAAACTTGAAAAGAAGATGAGGCAAGAGATGAGATCAGAAGGGTAGTGTTGACCCTCTCTTAAGGACAATGAAGAAATAAAAATTTTTAAAGGGTTTTAAATGGTAGTGGATTAAGGTAGTGAGCAGGGAGACCAGTGGGGATAACCCAGAGGAGGGAGACTAATGGATAGAAGTAAGGCTACTAAGGTGGTAATTTGCTTTTTTGGTTTTATTTGATTTGTAAACACTCATTCAGATACATGTATATCGGTTCTGTAATCAGGCTGACAGAAAAGATTTAGCGAGAGAAAGAAACTATTAAATGAGTGGTTTTCCTATGAGAACCACAACTGTCTTGAGGGCAGCACCATGAGACTAGACTGAAAACTCTGGAAAGTCAGAGGCCAAGCGTTGCTCTCCACTCTGTCTCCAGGATGTACCATAGTGTCTGGCACAGACTCTTACGGAATAAATGAATGAAGAGAGTAGCAACAAAAACGATTTGAACAATTGGGACATCATTGGAATGAGTGTATTTTCAGTGAGGAGACTAGTCTGAAGGATAATACTCATTTAGAAAGAAAATAATACTGGTACATTTGCTTAAAATTAAAAATAGAAAGAAAGAAAAAATAGCCATTTCAGTTTGCAGTAAAAATTGGAATTGATAACTTTACAATGAATGTACCAAATGTCAAATATTAGCCACAGCAGGAAAAAATGCTCAAATTATTTTGTTTTTTTAATTAATTCACGGTGTTTGTGAGTATATTCTTAGTCCAAAAGCCAATCATTGTTTAATTATATCCTCCTGCCTTATGAAACGTCTTAAACCAAAGAAAAATGGGATGATCCTGGCTTTATTATGAATGTCTGATTTGTAATTATCAAACTTACTTAGGAAATAAAGCAGCTATCATTGTTAAGAGGCTGTCCTCAGCACAGGCTGTCATTTGCACAGGATAGAAATTTATCACTTTGCCAAACATAGGAAGAGAAAACCAAACACTGCACGTTCTCACTTATAAGTGGGAGCTGAACAATGAGGACACATAGAAACATGGGGGTGAACAACACACACTGGGGTTCACACAAGGCCTGTAGGAAGGGGCATGTGGGGGGAGGGAGAGCATCAGGAAGAATAGCTAATGGATGCTGGGCTTAATACCTACGTGATGGGTTGATAAGTGCAGCAAACCACCATGGCACATGTCAACCTATGTAATGAACCTGCACATCCTGTACATGTACCCTGGGACTTAAAATAAAAATTGAAGAAAAAAACAAAAGAAATTTATTACTCTGCTACTTATTCTTTCTTTACTCTGTCTTTAGCTAGGAAGCAAATTTGTTTAAAACTTTTAAAATATTCCAATTTCTGTAACATATGTAATAAACATCACATTTCTATGATAGCTTCATTTGTTCTTCAAAGATTGAGTGCCCCCATATGTACTAGGAATTTTTTTTAAAAAACTAAGACATCAGCCCTGCCAAGAAACACACATTACAGTGGTCTATTTCACAAATGGGAAGCCCCTGCGTGGTTAGACAAGTCATCCATCCAGTATGGTATTTGGGCTTTCCCCCTAGTAATTTCCTCAAATATATGATATTTCATTGGAAACACACTAAATTGAGCCTTTGATTTCAGCTGTGGGTTGCATCAAAAAAATGTTCTTTCAAAAAAAAGTACCAGGCAGCACTAAGAGTATATAATTAAGTCTAAATTATGAAGGCCCACTGAAGAAGGTCTTGAGACTCCTCATAGCTCAGCTCTGCCATCAATGAACAGCATCTGCTGTGCAGTAATGAGAGAATGGGAATTTTTTTTGCTCCTAGGCAACTTGAATCCCCTGAGAGCTAAGAAAACCAGCTGATATGGTTTAGCTGTGTCCTCACCCAAATCTCATCTTGAATTCCCATGTGTCATGGGAAGGACCCAGTGGGAGGTAACTGAATCATGGGGGCGGGTCTTTCCCATGCTATTCTCATGATAGTGAGTAAGTCTCACGAGATCTGATAGTTGTATAAAGGAGAGCTTCCCTGTACAAGTTCTCTTCTATTGTCTGCTGTCATGTGGGACGTGCCTTTCACCTTATGCCATGATTGCGAGGCCTCCCCAGCTGCATGGAACTGTGAGTCCATTAAACCTCTTCCTTTTGTAAATTTCCAAGTCTCGAGTATGTCTTTATCAGCAGTGTGAAAATGGACTAATATACCAGCACATTTTCCAGAGTAGCTATTGTCTTACAGGGAGAGTCCATATAGGTATGCAGCACTAAACTTGTACAACTGACTTCTCCCTATTTTGTATCTTCTCTTAGCCATGCCCAGTGCCATAGATTTTATGGAAAAGTGTAGAGCCTGCACATCCTTTCCAAGTACAGACTCTGAATTTTTCTATAATTCCCTTCTCCCATTACTAGCTTTGGATTTTGTGATGGTAGCATTTAGTGCCTGTTGCGTAGTAGTTGTGCATGTATCACATTGTTGTCACAATGTGAATTCAAAAGAGCAATATGTCACAGTTCTTTTCTTAGAAGAGGTAAGAACCCATATTCAAAGGTCTCAGAAACATCTAATTGAGAGGTATTAGTCTTGATCTTGAAGCCAAAGCATTTTAGGTCTTCTTTAGGTTCTTCCCCTGAAAGAAAGAGGGAAAAGAATAAAAACCACTAGAAGCCTGTGTTAGGGAGAGTGAGAATAAACATGAGATCAAATATTTCCCATGGATAATTAGCAAATTGGAAAATCAAGTGTGGCGTGCATATGAGATTGCAGAAGTAAGAGAGTAAATGGGAAGGGAAAATGCAAGCACACATTTTCATTGTATAGTTGTGGAAGAGGAATTGCTGCTGGCATTTAAAATGTTAAAGCAATTCTAAGCAAATTAATGAAGCAAAAACTAAATTAGTAAATGAAGTAAGCACCACAAAATCAATGAAGTAGGGACTGCTAGAGCTCATTTTCAAAGAGTAACTCTGTACATGCAAATTTGTAGCCTGGCCTCCATGTACTTTGAGAACCTCTCTACTATTTCCCAAGATGGGACTGGATAATATAATATCAATGACACTTCCTTTCAAATAATATCAATAAGCAACATATCTTCAGATCTCTAAGCCATGGCTTATTTTCATCCTGTTAGAAAAGTTGGCATAAGATTGAATCAGACCAAAAGATTGAACTAATAAAAGAGGGGAGCGGGTGAAATACCAATTAAGATAATGACAGTGCCACTTTGAGGGGTTTGCCTCACTTGGCTTACACTACCTGAGAGATTTTAAACACAGGTGGCCTTCCCATGTTCGAAAATATGGAGAGAAACTAAAAATGAGGCTGGGGCAACAGCTCAGCCTCATGTTGAGAGCCCCTTTGATTTATGCTCCTTGTTCTCATCTGAACTGCGCTCCCATTTCCTAGCTCCACACTCTGGCTCCTGGTAGATGCTCCTGGCTGGCTCTCTTTCCTGCTTCAGCTCTCTTCTAAAGTTTACCGATCTCTTCTGCCATACTCCAGGAACCCTACAAGCTGCTGCCTCCCCACCAGGTAGCAAAAGCACACATGGCTTTTAACCATACCTTCCATTCATTGAGTGCTTCCTAACTAATAGCCATATGCATTATATATGCTATCACACTTACCTCATGACATTTCTCACAACAACCCTATCAGGTCGATTTTCATATTCCATTTTATGCAGGAGGAAACAGAGGCCCAGTGAGATGTGGTACCTTGCCCAAGTTCATAGAGCTAGTAAGTGGCAGAGGGAGGATCTAAACCTAGGTGAGTCTGACTCCAGAAGCCTTAAGTAGGCTTTATTGTTGTTGTTTGTTTTAAATAAAATTTTCTACTTCATAACGTTTTCAGATTTACAGAAAAGTTGCAAGGATAGCATGAAGAGTTCCTGTGTATATCCACCCTCAACACCCAGTTTGCCAATTACATTAGTATAATCCAGTTGTCACAACTAATGAGCTAGTATAAACACATCATTATTATTAAGTTAGATTTCCTTAGATTTTTCCTAAAAGTTCTTTTTCAGTTCCAGGATCCCATCCAAGATACCAAATAACATTTAGTGGTCATGTCTCTTGAGGATCTTCTTGGCTGTGACCGTTTCTCAAGCTTTCCTTTTTTTTTTTTTTTTTTTTTTAATTATCTTGACATTTTTGAAGAGTACTGATCAGGTATTTTGCAGGATGTCTCTCAATTGGGATTTTTCTGATGCTCTTCTCATGAGTAGACTGGGGTTATGGGTTTTTGGGAGGAAGACCACAGAGGTAAAGTGCCATTCTTGTCACATCATATCAATGGAACATATTATCAACATGATTTATCACTGTCGATGTTAACCTTGATGACCTGGCTGATGTAGCATATATCAAGTTTTTCCACTGTAAAGCCACTACTCACCCACTGCAGGAGTGCGTAGTCATGCTCCACCTCTTGGAGAACAGAGTATCCAGATAATTCTTCTGAATGGGAGAATTGTCTCTCTCCCTAATTTATTTATTTATACAACTTTTAATTTTTATCAGTATGGACTCATAGATATTTACTTTACCCTCTGAGTTATAATCCAATATTACTTTATTTTGTTGGCTATATTGTTCTGGCTTTAGCTATTAGGGGTGCTTTCATTTGGCCCCTGTGCCCCTTTGTAATATACCTATCAAATTTGTTTAAGTATTTCCTTAATTTCTGTTACTATGAAATGCCCCAGGGTCACCTTAGATATTTCCTGACCCAGTTCTAGAATCAGCTGTCTCTCAAAGGAGTTCTGGGTTCCTTGTATTGGAGGGTGGTATTAGAAACTGAAATATGAGCACTAAGTATGCTCATTGCTACTGGCACTCTCAGCCAACAGAGCAAGGAGGTGTATATCTCTACTAATGCCTGTATATATACATATCTACATAAAGTTCTATATATAACCATTTGTATCTAAATTAAGCTAAACATGAGTTCATACCATGTCTCCAACTCCATTTCATTATCAGATGGATCATTCTAGCTTCTTCCCCTTGCTTATCTGTAAGCTCCCATTTCAACAGTGAAAATCCTGGTTCCCATCGTCTACCATAAATTTACTTAGTTGATCAAGTATACATGTATAGCAGTGTCATAATTGTTAATCTATACCTCTATGGGGAACGACTTTATTAACTAGAAGTTAGTGCTTAGGTGCAGTTTATTTGGCCTTTATTCTTAAAGACTTCATTTCCATTGTTACTTAGGGCAGCATATTTTCCCCCATTCCCTTCAGTGAGGTTATTTCATACATTTATAATACAGTTGGGTTCTTCTGTCCTGTTCTGTATTCCATTCTGGGATTCTCTGATCTCCAAAATGATTTTTTAAAATTTGTATACATTAACGTTTACTATTCATGCCATAAAGTTCTGTGGGTTTTGACAAATGCATAGTGTGAAATGCACCAATACAATTCACACACATTAATTTTACCACCCTAATAAAATCTCTTGTGCTTCACCTGTTCAACCCTCCCTACTTCCCCAATCCCTGGAAAGCAAGAATCTGTTTTCTTTTTCTAAAATTTTGCCTTTTCCAGAGTACAATATAAATGGAAGCATGCCTGTTCAGACTGATTTAATAGTATGTCATTGTATGGGTGGACCATATTTGTTTATTCATTCATCTATTGAAGGACACCTGCATTGCTTCCAGTTTTTAGTGATTATGAATGAAACTGTTATGAACATTCATGAGTTTTTCTGTGGATATGTGTTTTCAATTCACTATGGATTATACCTAGGAGTGTGATTGCTGAAGTAACATTAAAGTGACTAAAGTTTAGCTTTGTAAGACACTGCCAAACTGCTTTCCAACATGGCTACACCATTTTGCATTCCCACCAGCAATGAATGAAAGTTCCTGCTGCTCTGCATCCTTATCCAAATTTGGTGTTGTCAGTGCTGGGGATTTTAGCCAATCTAATAGGTATGTATGGTATTTCATAGTGATTTTGATTTACAATTCTATAATGATAAATGATAGTGAGCATAATTTTATGTGCTTTTTTGCCATCTGCATATGTTAATTGGTGAGGTGTCTGTTTAAATATTTTGCCCTCTTAAATTTTTTGTTAATTGGTGAGGTGTCTGTTTAAATATTTTGCCTTAATTTTTTTTTTTTTTTTTTTTTTTGAGACGGAGTCTGGCTCTGTCGCCCAGGCTGGAGTGCAGTGGCGCAATCTCGGCTCACTGCAAGCTCCGTCTCCCAGGTTCGCGCCATTCTCCTGCCTCAGCCTCCCGAGTAGCTGGGACTACAGGCGCCCGCCACCACGCCCGGCTAATTTTGTTTTTGTATTTTTAGTAGAGATGGGGTTTCACCATGTTAGCCAGGATGGTCTTGATCTCCTGACCTCGTGATCCACCCACCTCAGCCTCCCAAAGTGCTGGGATTACAGGCGTGAGCCACCGCGCCCGGCCCTTAATTTTTTTTTTATATTGTTGAGTTTCTGTGTGTTTCTTTACAAGCTGTTTGTCAAATGTGTGACTTGCAAATATATTCTCCTAGTCTTGGCTTGTCTCTTCATCCTCTTAACAGTGTCTTCTTCAGAGCAACTTAAAAAATTACAAAGCCTTTGGTTTTTACCCCAATTTTCTATATATGTTCCCTTTAACTGTCACCCATGATCTCTAGAGTCCCCCATCTCTCACCCACTGAGGGCCTCCTCAGAGGGTGCCAATGACAGCAATGAAAAGTAGTTTGGCCAAAGGTTTTTCCTGCTTGGCAGCACTCTCATCTACCTGAATAATGCCTGGGGGACATAACACACTGGCCTCTTTACTGTTCCTCAAACATGCCAGTCAAATTTCTGTCTCAGGACCTTTGTACCTACTGGTCTCTCTGTCTCAGATATTCATCTACAGATAACCCCTTAGCTCACTTCCTTACTTGCTGTAAGTCTTTTCTCAAATGTCACCTGCTCTATGAGGTCTAATTTCCAGAGCTCTGGAAATCACTGCATGTCACAGCATCTGGTCAGGAACCATTTTAGAGTATATCCATCACTCCTTCTAGTATACCCAAGAGTGATGAGCAACTCAGGACTGGTAGGCAAATGGTGGGCTTCTGTCCTTATTATGACATGTTCTGTCATCTCAGGAGAAATATTAGAAGATTGCCTCCCAGTGTGCTATTTCTCAAATATGTCCAGATGTTTTTTTTAAAATCATCAACATTTAATATTCTGATAATCAAGGAAAGAATAGATAAGGTCCCAGAAATTTATGATTTGAGTTTTTCTTTTATAAATCCCTAGATATGCGTGTATATGAAAGTGAGTTTATTTTTAAAAATAAAAACACAAAAAAGAAATTGCTAGATATTTTCTCCTGGGGGATATGGAAGAAATATGTGTTAAATAAAATAATTCTCAAGATTTTTTTTATAGAGACCGACTCTTAACTTCATAATTAATATAAAGCCATAAATTTCCATAGAAAACTACTTCAGAGGTAAAAGTGCTGAAAAGAAATTCATTGTCAATCAATCACATTTGTTTTTGAAACTCTCCTTCCTGTCAAGGTTGGTTAAGACTTCTTGCTACAGAGGATGCTAATTAGGGTGAACATAGATTCCAGTTTCTGAAACAGTGCTAGTTGATTTTGGCCCTGTGCATCTATTAATTGCACTCCTTTTTACTTTTAGCAGTTTGAAACTTCTAATTTTAATAGGTCAATCACTCCTTTTCACATATTTCTCTTCATTGTGTCTCCTGATGTACACTTCTCTTAGAAATTAAGAATAAATGAAGAGTTGAAGAATGCAGAAGCACTATCCTTATCTACCTTGGTCATTCACCCAGGGCACCGGCTAAGGCTCACTCAGGGCTACTATACTGCCCAATTTTCAGGGATGCCGTCCCCATCAGAATCTGTGTGGGCGGTGCTCTCCATTCCTTTTATTGTACTTATGCTGCTGTATATTAACCTGTGGCCATTTCTTTTATACATTATCCTATAGCCAATGAAACACTTGAATGTTTAAGCCTAACCCCATTGAAATTAGGTTAAAATTTTAGACCTAACCCCACGGAAATTAGGTTCTCTTTTGTTTGTGTGTGTGTGTGTATTTATACTTTAAAACGACTTTTAAAAAGTCTTTTTTTTAATATGAGTAGTTAATTTTTTTTATTATACTTTAAGTTCCAGGGTACATGTACACAACATGCAGGTTTGTTACATATGTATACGTGTGCTGTGTTGGTTTGCTGCACTCATTAACTTGTCATTTACATTAGGTATTTCTCCTAATGCTATCCTTCTCCCATCCCCCCACCCCATGACAGGCCCCGGTGTGTGATGTTCCCCGCCCTATGTCCAAGTGTTCTCATTGTTCAATTCCCACCTATAAGTGAGAACATGCAGTGTTTGGTTTTCTGTCTTTGTGATAGTTTGCTGAGAATGATGGTTTCCAGCTTCATCCATGTCCCTACAAAGGACAGGAACTCATCCTTTTTTATGGCTGCATGGTATTCCAAGGTGTATATGTGCCACATTTTCTTCATCCAGTCTATCATTGATGGACATTTGGGTTGGTTCCAAGTCTTTGCTATTGTGAATAGCGCTGCAATAAACATACATGTGCATGTGTCTTTATAGTAGCATGATTTATAATCCTTTGGGTACATAGCCAGTAATGGGATTGCTGGGTCAAATAGTATTTCTAGTTCCAGATCCTTGAGGAATTGCCACATTGTCTTCCACAATGGTTGAACTAGTTTACACTCCCACCAACAGTGTAAAAGTGTTCCTATTTCTCCACATCCTCTCCAGCACCTGTTGTTTCCTGACTTTTTAATGATCACCATTCTAACTGGTGTGAGATGGTATCTCATTGTGGTTTTGATTTGCAGTTCTCTGATTACCAGTGATGATGAGCATTTTTTCATGTGTCTGTTGGCTGCATAAATGTCTTCTTTTGAAAAGGGTTTGTTCATATCCTTTGCCCACTTTTTCATAGGGTTGTTTGACTTTTTCTTGTAAATTTATTTAAGTTCTTTGTAGATTCTGGATATTAGCCCTTTGTCAGATGGGTAGATTTCAAAAATTTTCTCCCATTCTCTAGGTTGCCTGTTCTCTCTGATGGTAGTTTCTTTTGCTGTGCAGAAGCTCTTTAGTTTAATTAGATCCCATTTGTCTATTTTGGCTTTTGTTGCCATTGCTTTTGGTGTTTTAGACATGAAGTCCTTGCCCATGCCTATGTCCTGAATGGTATTGCCTAGGTTTTCTTCTAGGGTTTTTATGGCTTTAGGTCTAACATCTAAGTCTTTAATCCATCTTGAATTAATTTTTGTATATGGTGTAAGGAAGGGATCCAGTTTCAGCTTTCTACATATGGCTAGCCAGTTTTCCCAGCACCATTTATTAAATAGGGAATCCTTTCCCCATTTCTTGTTTTTGTCAGGTTTGTCAAAGATCAGATAGTTGTAGATATGCAGCATTATTTCTGAGGGCTCTGTTCTGTTCCATTGGTATATATCTCTGTTTTGATACTGGTAGCATGCTGTTTTGGTTGCTGTAGCCTTGTAGTATAGTTTGAAGTCAGGTAGCGTGATGCCTCCAGCTTTGTTCTTTTGGCTTAGGATTGTCTTGGTGATGTGGGCTCTTTTTTGGTTCCATATGAACTTTAAAGTAGTTTTCTTTCCAATTCTGTGAAGAAAGTCATTAGTAGCTTAATGGGAATGGCATTGAATCTATAAATTACCTTGGGCAGTATGGCCATTTTCATGATATTGATTCTTCCTATCCATGAGCATGGAATGTTCTTCCATTTGTTTGTATCCTCTTATTTCGTTGAGCAGTGGTTTGTGGTTCTCCTTGAAGAGGTCCTTCACATCCCTTGTAAGTTGGATTCCTAGGTATTTATTCTCTTTGTAGCAATTGTGAATGGGAGTTCACTCATGATTTGGCTTTCTGTTTGTCTGTTATTGGTGTATAAGAATGCTTGTGATTTTTGCACATTGATTTTTTTATCCTGAGACTTTGCTGAAGTTGCTTATCAGCTTAAGGAGATTTTGGGCTGAGATGATGGGGTTTTCTAAATATACACTCATGTCATCTGCAAACAGGGACAATTTGACTTCCTCTTTTCCTAATTGAATACCTTTTATTTCTTTCTCTTGCCTGAATGCCCTGGCCAGAACTTCCAACACTATGTTGAATAGGAGTGGTGAGAGAGGGCATCCCCGTCTTGTGCCAGTTTTCAAAGGGAATGTTTATGTCCAGATATTAATTTCAGTGACTAAAAGTAATGCCAATTTTCTCACTGAAGCTCTTCAATAAAGTAAGTAATCTAAGTTGTAAGTATTTGCATTTTTGCCATGAGACTATATAGCAATTTTCATTTTTAATCGGGAAATGATGTTGATGAGTATCTTTATTTTCCAAAATAATTCTTCCCTATACACAAAAGTTTGCTCATCATAAGAGGAAGGCATGTTCTTGCCATGTCCAGGATATAGTTGATCAGGTTCTCCCATGCAAATAACAAGCAATTCAAATAAAAAGCCATATGCAAGTCATAGCCCAGTACCTCTGCCACAAAGAATGTTCCCAGGCCCACCCATTCACTTAGCTTTCAACCCATGGCCTCTAATCCTCTTCTCTCTAGCTCTATTCTTCTCTATCTCCACAGTAGTATCTCAACCTTTCTCCCCTTTTGGTAACCTGTTTATTCCCCTTTGGTGTACTGACCTCAGCTACCCTTCCTTGACTTCCCTAGTCCCAGATACTCTGGGCATGAAACATTCCTCCCACTAACCTCAGACCTGCAGAAGCCCCTGCAGCTACAGCCAGGCCAGGCTGTTTCCTGACCGTAAGGATATATGCACATTATAAAAGAGGATTTCTTCTTCACAGCAATAAGGCATTGGACTTAAGGATATACAACAAGATTGGGGTAAAGAGGAAACAGTGAGGAGAGATTTCGCGGCAAATAGATCAGAACAGCTTGCTTTAGCAAAGATTCAGATTTTTGTTTCCCTGACCCTCAGAATCTTTATAGCTAGGCAGCAGTTTCCAGTTTAGTGCACACTTTCTCTTTCATGAGGGACATTTATTTCTCTAGTGAAGACTGGCAGAATGCTAACTATGGTAATCCCTAAAATGAACAGTGAAAAGGCAAGAGATGATTGCAAATATGTTGACTGAGAAGCCCAAACCCAATTGGCTCTCAGAATAAATGATATCATTTGTCAGTCTCTTCAGATAGAGAATAGGATTTTTAAATGTTTAAGTTTGTAGGAGTCTTAGTTGATTTGACAATGTCATCTGAAAAGTGATAAACAATGAAAAATGCAAAAGATCATAATTAAGATTATAAGAAGTTTGTAGCTGGAAGCTCACATCATGGGCTGCCTGAGTTTTATGGTATTCTCTGCTTTTATTTCATTGAAAATGAACACAATCCTGCAACTGATATCATATCTTTCTGTAAGGATTACCATGGGTAACAACAACAACAAACACCAAAGGAATCAGGCAAAAGAAAATCTAATTCCCGAGAGATACATCTAAATTCAAACAAATGAGACAAATGTATCTATAGAGACGTAAACAGAAATTCAAGGCCAACAAGAAAAATAATCTTGTTCCCTGAGCAGCAAACACCTGAGTGCTGGAAATTAGGATTTCTAGATTTTTCTCATAGTCAAAGGTTAGAGGCTTTAGCAAATATGCAATTAGTTTCCCTTATTGATACACTGTGCAGGCAGAAAATAGCCCAGCTATCCTTTTCTGGAGGCAGCTTCTTCAAACTGTCCCTGAGGAAATCCAGTTTATGGGAAAGCTTTGGAAAGCACATGAGATTCTCGGTGATACTGATGACATGGCACTGTCACTGTTGCCACTGTGGTGATGTTGAGTCTACCAGGCAGCCCAGCCTCCCTCATTACCTTTCAAGACAGCAGCAGCCATCGTCTCAACCAGTACCTTTAGGTATGAGGTTAGGAATTGGTTTGGCTGAAAAAGCTAAGGTAAGAATTACTATTTGGAGAGGCCCACGGCAGGTGACTCAGCAACCAATTGGAAGTACTTGATTCCATGCTTTGGGGAAGGACACAATTGGGAGGCATAAGCAGCACCCTTGGGAGAAGAGCCCTAGGATTTTTAATATTTATTCAAACAAAGATGATAGCGGTTTGTCTTTAAGCTGCTCTCTGAAAGACCCTCTCTAACAGAGAGAATCAACTGGTCACTTTATCTACCATGGAAGAAAAAAGGGCTCTGTTGACACAGTTCATCTTAAAATTTGTAATTTATGGGCCTCAGGCATCTCTAAACCAGCTTACCTAGAAAAGGGACAGAAAATCACTGTGAATGGATAAACAAACTCTCCTAAAGTAAATTCTAATTCTTTCCCCTAATAATTCAGGCTTTACAGTGTTCAGAAATATAAAATGGGCTGATGGATCATTAAGCCAAAATAAATGCTGGATATGCTGAGGCCCAGAAGAAGCAACTACTGAAAATTCACCAAACAAATTAACAGCATGTGTGGCCAATGCATAAGGCAGAGAGCAGTAGCAAAGAATTGACCATTTTCCATCTTCCGTGGAGAGGAGTTCTTGAGAATAAGCAGTACAAGGATTATAATGGGACAAAGAAAAACAACTGCAAAATATGGAACTCTACAGTTTACAGATGATTTCATCCTCTATTATTTCACTTGATCCTCACGAAATTGTATTCATCTTACTCATTTATATTCATTCATTCATTTCTAACCAATATGTATACAGTACCTCCTATGTGTCAGGCACCATTCTAGATGCTGGAAAAGCCATGGGAATAAGACAGTTAAGGTCCCTGTTCTTACACAGCATATGGTCTGAGGAGAAGCCAGCAATAAACATGAAAATCACACAAATAAAAATAAGTACAAAGGATAAGTCCTATGAATATAACTGACATAGGGTGATGCCATAGATTGTGTCAAGGGACAGGTGCTCCTTTCAATAGAGTGTATACGGATGAGGGTTATATTTGAGTTGAGGCCTGAAAGAGCCAGTCATGCAAAGATGGGAGGTGGGTTGGTGTAGGGACAAGAGTGTTTTAGGTGGAGGGAACGGCCAGGCAAATGCTTTCATGTAGGGAAGAGTCACCTGTGTTCTTGCAACTGGACGAATATTACCAGGGTGGCTGGAACTTAGCGAGCCAGATGGAAGTGTGCATGAGATGAAACCAGAGAGACAGGCAGGAACTGATTGGTGAGGGCCTTGAAACCAGTGGAAAGGAGTGTGGAGTATGGATTGTACTCTAAATGCAATGGCAAGCCACTGGAGGATTGTAAATCAATTTTAATTCTTAGAAGGTTACTCTGGGAAATAGATTGGAGGGGGATAAGAGTGGGTGAATGGAGAACAGTTAGGGTGGAGGTCTGGTGAGATATGTCCAGGAACTAGATAGTGCATGGCTAGAGGAGATGAAGAAAAGTAGGTAAACTTTTGTCTACAACAATAATTTTTTTTTTAATTTTTAAAATTTTTACTGTTGTGAATACATAGTAGGCATATATATCTATGGGGTACATGAGATGTTTTGATACACACATGCAATTCATAATAATCACATTCTGGAGAATGGAGTATCCATCTTCTCAAGCACTTATCCTCTGTGTTAAAAACAATCCAGTTATACTCTTTTACTTATTTTAAAATGTACAATTAAATTATTATTGACTATAGTCACCCTGTTGTGCTATCAAATATTACGGTTTTTTCACTCTAACCACTTTTTTTGTACCCATTAATGATCCCCACCTCCACCCCCGAACACTACTACCCTTCCCAACCTCTGGTAACCATCCTTCTGCTCTTTACCTCCATGAGTTCAATGTATTAATTTTTAGCTCCCCAAAATAAGTGAGAACATGTGAAGTTTGTCTTTCTGTGCCTGGCTTATTTGATGCAATATAACATCTTCCAGTTTCATCCGAGTTGTTCCAAATGACTAGATTCTGTTCTTTTATATGGCTGAATAGTACTCCATTGTGTGTAAGTATCACATTTTCTTTCCCCATTCATCTGTTGATGGACACTTAGGTTGCTTCCAAATCTTAGCTATTGTGAACGGTGCTGCAACAGACATGGGAGTGCAGATATCTCTTTGATATGCTGATTTCCTTTCTTTTGGGTGTATACCCAGCAGTGGGATGGCTGGATCATATGGTAGCTCTATTTTCAGGTTTTGAGGAACTTCCAAACTGTTCTCCATAGTGGTTGTACTAATTTATATTCCTACCAACACTGTAAAAGGGCTACCTTTTCTCCACATCCTCGCCAGCATTTGCTATTGCCTTTCTTTTGGGTAGAAGTCATTTAACTGGGGTGAGATGATATCTCATTGCAGTTTTGATTTGCATTTCTCTGATGATCAATGATATTGAGCACCTTTTCATATGCCTGTTTGTCATTTGTATGTCTTCTTTTGAGAAATGTCTATTCAAATCTTTTGCCAGTTTTAAAATCAGATTATTAGTTTTCCTTTAAAGTTGTTTGAACTCCTTATATATTCTCACTATTAATTCCTTGTCAGATGGCTAGTTGACAAATATTTTCTCCCATTCTGTAGTTTGTCTCTTCACTTTGTTGATTGTTTCCTTTGATGTTTGGAAGCTTTTTAACTTGAAGTGAGCCCATTTGTCCATTTTTGCTTCAGTTGCCTGTGCTTGTGAGCTATTACTCAAGAAATTTTTGCCTAGCCAATGTCCTGGAGTTTCCCCGATGTTTTCTTGTAGTAGTTTCATAATCTTAGATGTATGTATTTAATACATTTTGATTTGATTTTTGTATATCACAAGAGATAGGGGTCTAATTTCATTCTTCTGCAGATGGATATCCAGTTTTCCCAGGACCATTGATAGAAGAGGCTGTCTTTTTCCCAGTGTATGTTCTTGACACCTCTGTCAGAAATGAATTCACCATAGGTGTGTGGATTTGCTTCTGGGTTTTCTACTCTGTTCCATTAGTCTGTGTCTGTTTTTATGCCAGTACCATGCTGTTTTGGTTACTATAGCTCTGTAGTATTATTTGAAGTCAGGTAATGTGATTCCTTCAGCTTTGTTCTTTTTGCTTAGGATAGTTTTCGCTATTCTGGGTCTTTTGTGTATGGTCCCATATAAATTTTAGGATTGTTTTTTCTATTTCTGTGAAGAATGTCATTAGTATTTTTATAGGGAGTGCACTGAATCTGTAGATTGCTCTGAGTGGTATAGACATTTTTAGGATACATGAACATGAAATATCTTTCCATTTTTTGGTGTCCTCTTCAATTTCTTTCATCAGTGTTTTATAGTTTTCATTATATAGATCTTTCACAAGAAGTAGGTAAACTTGGGCTATGCTTTGGAGGTGGGATTTGCAGGACTTGCTGATGAATTAGATGTGGGGGGAGGGACAAGAAAGGAGTAAATCATTTTGGGATTGAGCAACTGATTGGACAGTAGTACCATTTTCTGAGATGGGAAGCAATGAGGCACTGACGGAAGGATAAGTTTGTGATGGAATGGGGGAATCTAAGAACACTGTGAGAAAATCTTGTATCCTTGTTTTGTTGATAAGAAAACTGATTCCCTGGTCACGCCATCAGAATTCCAATACTGGCTTGCGTGGCTCCCAGTCTTTGAAATGTCCAGGATCAAGAAACAAACGTCCTTATAGAGGCCCCCTTGTTGCTCCCAACTCCTGCTGAGGAGAAAATTTCCACTAATATTGCTTGCTGCCAAGCCCCTCCTTTCTTCTCATTGCTCCCTGGTTATTACCCTTGGACTAACACAAGCCAGTCCAAGGCTTGGCTTTAGGATATACTAAAGATTACTTGGTGACTGTCTCCAATGTTTAACATGATATTGGAAAAGGTAAACTTTCATACAGTAGTTACCATTCAAGGACAGAATTTGAGGGATATCCCCTCTAACCCCCAGTTAGAACCATGGTCTGAAACAGCGGAGAATTAAAGCTGGCTTGGCATTGGTTCATTTTATATCCAATTTGATTATTATGAAGTCCTAGATGTAGTCCAAGTGCTTTTTTTGTCCCGAGAGTAATGACATCAACTGCTACTTGGAATAAGTGTGCCATTGATTAAGCTTGGGAATCCTGTCATATAAAGATTTCCACTGCAATGGTAGTTTTACTATGAGAATCAGAGGTGTAAAGCTTGTACTGTGAATTATGAACAGTGACAATAGGCACAAATCTTTCTTCAGGTAAAGAGAACATTGTCACTGGGTTACCTGTGAAAACAACGTACAAAAAGGTTTTCTTGAATTGTCCACGGAAGTTAGCATGTAGCTCCCAAAGCCAGCGAGATACAAATGGAAGACAAGGTGTTTGTGCTGGAGATTGCTCTAATCAAAGACCCCTCTTTTCCCCAGCTGAGGCTTTCTGGGCCTCTCCAGGGCACAGCCCAAAGGAAATGACATCAGGAGGTTAGAAAACTATGTGAAGTGAGGTCTTGGGGTAAGTTTTGGAAAAAACAAAACACAAAGGGGAAAAGGTTGTTGCCCACTACAGAAGAGACTGACGTTTGGAAACACATCTGCTCCTAAAGAGTTCAGAGGAAAATGGGGTTCAAAGATTGCCCATTGCCTGTGACCTCTGACAGTCACAGACCACAACTGAGGAAGAGTAATTACCCTAAATCACTCCATTCTGGTGCCATGCTTCCCAGCTTTTTGTCTGAAGCTGACCCTTTTTGGCATCAAATAAATGTATCAGAGGCCTTCTTTCTAAAATTTCATTCTTAAATTTCTTTTCCCCTCATGTCACTCAGCATCTATCTTCACAATTGCCTTCCACCTTTGAGGTTCTCCATTTCCATCATCAATACACTAGCCCCAGGTCCCCATCATCTCTCACCAAAACTGTCACCAATAGTTCCCCAAGTTGTTCTACCTGCACCCATTGTTATCTTTCCTCCAATTTATTTCTCAGAGCAATCTTCTATAAATGACTCATTCTCTAAGAAAAACTATGTCCAGGGCCAGATCATTCTCATAGTCTTTTCCCAGTATCACCTCCAAAAGGTTGACAGCAAGAAATAAAGCAATTATTTAACTGCCTCCTGAACAGTATCCATGCCCACCCAATGCCTCTCACCACACCACAGGCCCTCATCATCCACAGCACACTATATCCAATCCATTCCTCTCCAGTTCTTATCCACTCTACCTCTAGAACATCCACTCCAATCTTTCCCATTGCCTCTTCTGAATATCCTCAGGTATCCCTGTTCCAACCCACCCAGCATTTTCAAAGCTCCCCCTGCAACTGAAAAGAAACATTGCCACACACTCTTCTCACCCACCAAGGCGAATGTAAATTCCACATACAAACATCAGCAAGTTTAATCACAACCATCTTTAATCGGTGTCAGTAGCAGCCTTATCTCCATTATATTTCAAGATGGAAGACTATAGGGAGCTGCCTTTTCTAAGAAATCTCAGCAGTGAAGTGTTGAACTTGGTGTTTTTAAGGGTTGGATGTCTGACATGCCAACTTCAAGTCTGCTGAAGTCCAACCATGAGTTTTCTAAACCACAACTTTGCAAAGCTTTCAGGCACTTTTTGAAACAACTGAGAAACCCGGGTTTTCAATAAAGAACAGGGGATGGGGAGAAGGGAAAGACAGAAAAATTGGAACTGGGTGTGGCTTACACCTATGATCCCAGTGCTTTGGGAGGCCAAGGCAGGAGGATTGCTTCAGGCCAGGAGTTCGAGACTAGCCTGGGCAAAATAGTAAAACCTCATCTCTATGAAAAATTAAAAAATTACCTGGTTGTAGTGGCATGCCTGTAGTCCTCGCTACTCGCGAGGCTGAGGTGGGAGGGTTGCTTTAGCCCAGGAGTTTGAGGCTGACAGCTATGATGGTGTCACTGCACTCCAGCCTGGGTGAGAGAGAAAGAGACCCTGTCTCTAAATGATCCTTCCTAGATTGAAGTATTTCATACTGGATGCAGGTCTCCCTCTCAGACTATGGTGAGGAAACCAAACTTCTCTCATGGAATTCCATGTCTCCACAGCAAAATTTCATGAGTATTGCTAATGAAAAAAATATTTATTTAATTTTTGGAGATAAGGAGTGAGGGAGAGAGAAGGGGAGTGGGGAGAGGAGGAGAGAGAGAGGGGAAGAGAGAGGGAAGAGGGAGAGGGAGAGAGGGAGAGAGGGGGGGAGAGGGAGAGAGAGAGAGGAAGAGAGGGGGAGAGAGAGAGAAGAAGAGAGAGGGAAGAGGGAGAGGAAGGGAGAGAGGGGAGAAGGAGAGGGAGGGAGAGAGGTGGAGAGAGGGAGGGGGATGGGGAGGGGGGAGGGAGAGAGGGAGAGAGAGAGAGATTTTTTTTCCTGGCCTCAGTTTAATCTTTTTCTATACTAATTTTCTAGAGGTCAAGCTATGAAACCATTGCCATAGAAGCTGCCTACTACACTTCTACGTTGGCTATTGGCTCCTATAATTAGATTAACCATATGAAACATTTAAAATATTGTTATTTATCCTCTTGAATGCACATTGAAGATATTAGGCACATCCTTAGGGAAGTTGAATCAGAAAATAACTAGTGAAACACTTGTCAATTGTTGCCATTAAAAGCATGAATTTTATATCTACCTATATATTTTTTATCACATGGCTAAGAGTCCACTCAGATAACAGTAGAAACTTATACAAAAGCTAGCGTTGGCAACATTCAAAGATAGAAACAACACTTTAGCCAAGATTTGTGAAACACACATTCAAAATGTCTCTTGCATCAGAAGCCTCCTTTCTCCTTCCTGAGTCAGAATCCCACTTTAGGTCCTTGTTAGCTCCACAGTACAGAGGGAGTGACTTCCTAATCAGCCTCCTGCTTCTGGCCCTATTGCATGCTCCTGGTATAGTAATATTCCAAAACACAGCTCTCAAGATGCTTTGCTTCCACTCTAAAATCTCCCCTGTCCCCCTATTTTCCTCTGAATTTTATTCAAGCTCCTAACTGTAGCTTTTAAACCCTCTACATTTAGTCTTTGACTGGCTTTTTTATCCTCATTTTCCTACTGCCTTACATAGGCCATGTATGTCAGCCAGATACATTCCTGGCTATTGCTCAAGTATGTCCAATGCTTTATCCCTGCCATGACCTTGCTCATTATTCTATGTTTCAAGGATACCATACCTATCAATCTCTGCCAGATAAAATGTGATTCATCCTTCAAGGTCTTTCTCAAATATCATCACCATTTTGAAGCATTTTCCCAACACAAACAGAGAATTTGCTTGAGCTTCTATTATTGCACTCAGTCATTACTAAGGCATTCCCTCCCTGCCCAACCAGGGGTGACACTGTAAATGTTGAATAACTGACTTTCTGGAAAGAAGTCCTGATTTATAGCGTTTGCTGATTTCAATGGTGTAAATACTCCTACCATGACTCCATGGTCAATTTCAAGCTACCAATATGATGTCACTGAATGTAGGGTTGTGAGGATTGCACAGTAGTTAATGACTATATACTGTTTCCACTACACCAATAGATGTAAATAATCCCAACTGCACAAATAATATCATAAAATAATTAGAAAGTAATGAATTTACTTTGTTTTTAATAAAATGCATTTCATTATATGTTTATATGATTGAATTTTTAATAGTGATTGCATTTAACAAACAGCTCTCAGAATTCTTAAAAATGTAATGATTAGCTCTTGTAATCTCTTTAAGGCAGTTCCAGCATGCTACTGTCTCCACTCTCCACATCACTATGTAAACTCCCTGAAGGATTCTGTGTCCTTGATTATCTCTGTGCACCCAGCTCAGGACTTTGCACAAGGTAAATCCTAACCTCAACACAGACACTTAAATCCATATCCTGGAGTGAAGCTCTAAAAGGAGCTTCCATGAAGCCCCAGAATGCTGAAGTCCTGTTCTTGGCAGGATGAATGGAAGGGGGAGGGTGAATTAAATGCCAGGGGAACAACCTTCCAAGTTGGTCTCAGATGTCTGATGTTACTGCCTCAGGGATTCTTTGGGTTAATTTTGTCCTATTTGCTGGAATGTCCCCATGTGTGAGTCAAGGAATGGGGATAGCAAGGGATGAGGCAAGATTATACAATGAAAATGCCATGGGCTGTTTCAAAATGCCATTTACAGTAGTAAAGGTGGGACAAAGGGACAGAGGATGGCATTGTGGCCCTTCATTGCTCACATGGCATTGAAAACTGTTTGGACTCCAACATTCCCATTCCTCTTTCCATCAGTATAATGAGGTTGCAAAATGAAGAAACTATCTTTCTTTGGAAGTTTTTCAAACACAACCTGGAAAAACCTACTGATGGAGTTAAAGTTATTTTCAAACAGAACTGCCATTTTCTAACCATGTTTATTTTTCTCCTCTCATAAAAAGGACAGACTAAGCAGCCCATTTAGATTCAAAGTATTTGAATCCTTACCCAAGTTCTGCTGGTATTCAAATATCACACAGTTCAGCTTCATTGTTTTGTATTTTAATAGGACAAGCTTGCTACTTTCCTCTATAGGATAATGGGAATGTAAATGCTCCTTATAAAAATGTAAATACTCCTTATAAAAAGTACATTAGGAAAGATTAAAACTACTAAGAATATCTGAAGCCTAGAGACAGTGTAGGCTAAGATATGGGTGGGGTCAAGGTTTCTGATGTATGAAACCTCCAGATAGTTCAGATTCCCAGAGTTGGAGTTCTGTATCACAAAATAAAAAATGCAATACATAGTTGGCAACAGGTAAATGGATTATTGGAGTGTTAGGCCACTTCTGAACAGGGAAGACAGTGAAGTCAGAGAGGGCTAACTGGACCAGAGATCAAATTGAGATCATAAAAGCAGGAAGAGGGAAGTAAGGACATGAGAAACCAGAATAGTTTGGTAGTTGTAGCAAGAGAATGAGATATTGAAGTTTCAAATTTCAAAGGAGAAATTAACTATGAAGATGGAAGCCTCTGGAGTACAGAGGCCATGAGAACAAAAGGGGTCTGAGAGCTGTGAGACCAGGGTAATGGGTAGGCTTTCTGCAAGAACACTGAAGCCACCCAGGAAGGATGCTGGCAGACCTTATAATGGAGAGGAAGACCCCAAACGATGAGCTGTGAGGGCATGAGCAGGGCAACACAGATGACTGCAGCCAGCAGGTGGTCCAGTACTAAGGTGAGGACATCTTCCACAAAGGAGGAGAGGAGGGTCGAAAGGATTGTAGGAAGCTGAGAATGGAACCCAAAGACATGCCCACATCTGAATCCACAGAATTTGTGATTGTGACTTTATTTGGCAAAAGGGATTTTGCAGATGTAATTCAATTAAGGATTTTGAGATGAGGGGATGATCCTGGATTATCCAGATGGGCCCCAAATGTCACTGCAAATGTCTTTATAAGAGAGGCAGAGGGAGAGACACAGAAGATGAGCAGGCAATGCGCCCAACAGGCAGAGGTTGGGATGATGTGGCCACAAACCAAGGAATGCCAGCAGCCACCAGAAGCTGGAAGGGGCAAGGAAGGATTCTCCCTGAATGCCTCCAGAGGGAGTCCAGCCCAGCTGACACCTTGATTTTGGCCCAGTAAAACCTATTTCAAACTTCTCACTTCCAGAACTGTGGAAAAGTAAATTTCTTTTGTTTTAAGCCCGTAATTTGTACAACTTTGTTACAGTTGCCATAGGAAACAAGTGTCAATGGAGGTCTGAGGAAAGAGCTCCCATCCTCATGGAAAACCAGCAGCCTGCACTGGAAACAGATTTGAAGCAAGGCAGGAGTTGGGCAGACATTCTGTGAAAGATGTTAGTTAAGGATGTTAGGTAAGGAAAATAGTTAAGCTCAGGACCAGGCTTCTCAAGGTCCTAAGGAAGAAACACTGGAAGGAAAGTTACCATGGAAGGATAAGCAGAGAAGGGAACACAGAGCAGGATTGCTGAGAAAAGAGGGCAGACAACCTCTGGCCAGAGAGGCCTGCAAGTTGGGCCCTGGCAGGGATAGTGAGGTAACAGGGGAAGCACCTGGCCTCAGGTCACCACATGGCACTCTGGCCTCTCTCACCCTCACTGGGATGAATATGTTACAGGCCTCTCTTGTAGCATCTGACAGTTGCTGGCAATCCTTGGAATTCCTTGGTTTATAGATGTATTACTCGAATCTCTGACGCTGTCTTCACATGGCCTTCATCTCCGTGTGCCTGTGTCTTCTCCTCTTCTTATAAGAACACCAACCATTGAATGCAAGGCTTATCCTAAATCCAGGATGATTTCATCTCGAGGTTCTTAACTAACTACATCAGCAAAAAACCCTATTTCCAAATAAGATCACATTCTGAGGTTCTAGGTGGACTTGATTTTTCTGGTGGATACTATGCATTACAAACAGAAGTTACATAGCACTTACCATGTGCCAGGCATGTTTCTAAGCATTTTACTTGTATTAAATCACTTCATCCTTACAACTTTTCTATGAGACAGATATTATTATTATTGTACCCAGTTTACAGATGAGGAAAGTAAGGTACAGTGAGGTTTAAGTAACTTGTCTGAGGTCACATATCGCTTGGTTCAAACCAAGACAGCTTGGCTCCAAAAACTGTGCTCCAGACCACTGTACTAATCTACTATGAATAACTTTAAAAGGTAAACTTTATTTCAATTTCTCATGCAGAAAATTTAACTCAGCCAATGCTATTTACATTCATACTTCTAACCAGGCAGAACCTAATCCTAAAACTATCAGCTTGTTTGCTAGAGTATAAATGGGAGGATGAATCATGAATTTGCTCATTGCTCTTCCCTGTTGCAGAAACCAGTTGTGTGATTATGGGCAAGTCAATAGTTTCTCTGGATCAGCCTGTCAATTTATGTTTATTGAGAACTTACTGTGTGCCAGGAAATGGACTAGGTACAAGGGTGTGGTGAAGCACAAGGTAAACAAAAACCCCTGCCTTATTACAGTAATAATGCTAATGCGGGAAACAAACTAACATCTGAAGAGTCACTCAGATACTTTAATACTTACATGTCTGCAAAGGACTGGGAATGAATATGGAGCATGAGCTTTCTGGAAGCAGGTAGAGGATAGGCCTAACTCCATCTGAGGAACCAGAGAAGGGCTTTGACAACAGTCATTTTGAATGGAAACTTAAAGGATCTCCGCAAGATGGGAACAGCCTTCCAGGCAGGGGAAACCACAGATCTAAAGCTGAGAACTGAAAATAAACAGAGTGCACTGAAGAACTGAGAATTCTGAAGCAGTTGAAAATGGGGAAAGGGTAGAATGAGAGTGATAGAGATAAATTTGGTCAGGGCACAAGCCACAGTATCCCACCCTCCAAAAGGTGCTCTGAGTCTCAGTTGCCTCAACTATAAAACCAGAGCTAAGGATACTGATCACCAACAGTTTGTTAGGAAGATTAATTAAGCAAACGTGAGGTAAAAATGCCTAGCATGGTGCCGGGGACAGGAAAGGTACTAAATAAATATAACCTGATTCTGAATCTACTGAGAATTTCTCTTGAACCACAACCTAAGAAAATACAATAACCTTAAACTCTCAGCTCTCTTCTTCTTGAGGGCTTGGTAAAGCTCACATTCATAACTGAAAGCACTAAGAGAGTGGAACAGATGATATGAATTGTCATTTTTCCGTGTTATCCGACAAGGCCATCTTAATGAAACAAAGAAAGCTGCCTATATCTGAATTTCAATAGTTCTTGGCCTTGTTTCATTCACAAGCATAATATTTTCCAATGACTGTGCTACATATGACATCAGTCACATTAAAATCATTGATCCCTTTAAATAATGATTGCACAGTACTGTAATTATTGTAATAAGGGCAGACTCAATCTGAATATAGAGAAAGTGGGCCTACTCCACATTTGATTTTTTTATAGCATCCTTAAATTTAAATTACAACATAGGCAATTTTCAGCATAACGTGTACTGTATATTTTTGCATTTCAATAAATCCATTTTCCCCCTACACACAACACTTGGTAATTCAGAGAAATGTCTTCATGGCTCCCAACTGCTGCTTCCTCAAGTTGGCTCTTGGTTAGTACTTTTCCTTTTTTTCTTTTTGAGTTAAGTGAAAACTATGAGTTCTCTGGGAGTAAGAATAAACCTGATTGTCTTTGAGAAAAAGGAATTTCTTTTATTTCCTTTCCCTTCTACCAGAATCATATCACATGCTGTGGAGACATCAGCTGTATTTATTTGTAATAAAGTGACCATGGGAGGAAACAAAATGAATAATTTCAGTGAAAATTGCCATATGCAGTTAGCTTTGTACCATACCAATGAGACATCTTTCTACACATCCCATTTTTCCCTAGAGTAAGGAGAAAGACTCATTCCAAATACAAACTCTGCTGACAAACAGACCTAGGTTCAAATCCTGGCTTAATTACTTACAAGCTCTGTGGCAGAAGTGACACTGCAAGACTTCCAATACTAAGTCATTGAATGCCATGCAGCTTCTGCCCATCCACTGGGGCATTTGCATTAGGAGCCCTGAATTTCCATGGAAGGAGGCTGGCTGACTACCCTGAGTCTGCCATGGGGTAAGGAAGCCCAAGCCACAAGGACAGGCCAGGTGAAAGTCCTCTGCTGGTAGTCCTGATCTTTGAGTCATCCCCAGGAGCCACCAGATATGGGAGTAAAGGTATCTTGAACTCTTCATACTAGCCCATATACAAGTTGAATATTACTGAATGACATTAATTGATGCCACAGGGAGCAAATGAGTCTAATGAAATGGTTGTTATTTTAAGTCACTGTGTTTTGGCATCACTTGTTATGCAACAGTAATAGAAATAAGAAGCAACCCACATAAGCATCATTTCTCTGGGCCAATAGGACCTTGGAAAGACCCTCAGCTATAAGACAAGAGAACAATAGTAATACCAGCAACATTGAACCTGTATAGGACTTACACTGTGCCAGGTACTGTTCCTACTATCTTACGTATATGGACTCATTTAATTCTCATAACAGCCCTGTGAGGTAGGGGCTGTTATTAGTTACTTCACAGATGAGGAAATTGAGGCACAGATAAAGTCACTAGCCCAACCTCCCACAGCAAGTAAGTGGTAAAGCAGGGTTAAATGCAGGTGGTCTTGTGTGAGGGTTCCTACCATTAGTCACTGCACTACACAACTTCACTCCTATCAAATATGTAAGAGAAACCTCACCAATGTGTCTGGACCTCCTGAAACACTGGTTTGCTGGGAGGAAGCCTTTATGATGGCTATAGAGTTGGCTTCCTGGCCCTGTTCATGCCCACAAAATCCATCTGGAGTGGTGCTTCCAGATAGTTTAGTCGTGGGCTGTTCTGCCCCGGGTCAACCTGACTCTGAGTCATGCATGTCTTTCCAAATGTCAGTCTCTAAGCTTAGAAGATGCTTACTTTAGTTTCTGCAATTATTTCTGAAGACTCTCACCCTTTTCTGGACTCAATGACAATTCATACACCACAGAGCTCATCGTTAATATCACTTTGAACTAGGCTTTATCAGTAATGTTCTAGGTGCCTCAGGAGAGGCTAATAATAATAGCAGCTAAAACCTTCTCAACACTATGTGCTACGCAAGTCTTATGCTCAGCACATCACATGTAATATTTCCTTTAATCTTCACAACAACAGTGACTCATGATATAGCTACTATTGTTTTCACTGCCATTCCACAGAAAAGAAAACCAAGCTTCATGGAGATTAACTGACTTACCAAAGGTCACACAGTGATTAAGTGGCAAAGCCAGAATTTGAACCCACATCAGTGTGACTTTAAAGCCACTATGCTCAACTAGATCAGCTGACTGAATGCCTTGACTTTCTGATGAAATAGAGACATATGATCTCAGTGGTTATGTTCCTTCTCCTGTAAAATGAAGACAATAAATATACTGTCTCTTCCACTCCTAGGTCTATACCAAAAAGAAATGAAGACATATGTTTACACAAAAACTTGTATACGAATGTTTATGGCAGTATTATTGATAATAGCTCCAAACTGGAAAGAATCCAAATGTCCTTCAATGGATGGGTAGATAAACAATATGAAATCTACCAACACAATGGAATATTATTGAGTCTTAAAAACAATGAAGTACTGATCCATGCAACAATATGGAAAACCTCCAAAACATGATGCTAAGTAAAAGAAGCCACTCAGAAATAGCCATATATTGTATGATTCCATTTATATGAAATGCCCAGAAAAGGCAAATCCATAAATACAGAAAATAGACCAGAGGTTTCCAGGGGCGGAGGGGAGAAGGAATAGGGAATGACTGCTAATGGGTATGGGGTTTCTTTTTGGAGTGATGGATTACTTTAAAATTCATTGCAGTGAGCATTGCACATATCTGTAAATACAATAAAAACCATTGAATTGTAGACTTTAAATGGGTGGATCTTATGGTAAGTGAATTATGCCTCAATACATCTGTTTTTTAAAATACTGTCTCAGGCCATAAAAAAGACCTAGATCATGTCTTTTGCAAGAACATGGCTGGATCTGGAGGCTATTACCCTTAGGAAACTAACGCAGGAACAGAAAACCAAACACCACATGTTCTCACTTATATGTGGGAACTAAATGATGAGAACTCAGGGACACAAAGAGTGGAACGAAACACACCGGGGTCTACTTGAGGTGAAGGGTGGGAGGAGGGAGAGGAGTGGAAAACTATTGAGTACTGGTCTTAATACCTGGGTGATGAAATAATATGTACAACAAACCCCCATGACATGAATTTACCTATGTAACAAACCTTCACATGTACTCCCCAACCTAAAAGTTTTTAAAAAATAAAAAATTACTGCCTCACCACATGAGGTGGTTGTGTGGCATAAATTAATAAAATGCCAAGTACTGTGCCTGGCACATGGTCAGCACAAATACAAGTTAGTTATTTTTATGTTTTAAACAGTTAGAAAAAAAATGTACCAGAATGGACTAAGGATATTGGTTCTTGGTTGAGCACCACAAGAAATCATATTCAATTTTCATTCTGATTTTATTGTATTTTCCCAAAAGTTGTTAAGTTCTCTGCATCCTGTCATCTGAAACACAAAGTGAGTCATGCCAAATTGCATCAGAAAATAAGAGGAAAAACCAAAATAAAACCAATATTTTGGTGGGCAATACCACCTGTGGTGGGAAAATACAGAATTCCGTCTGCGTTTGGGGGATTGATCAATCATCAGGAAGATATTTCTGCTCATGTCTTTTCTGTGCTGCCCCTCTTCTATGTCCTGCCTTCCCTTTCCCTTAAAAAGTCTATTTCAAACAAACACTTACCTTTGAAGTTGTGCAACAGAAGGATAAATATAGGATAGCTGTGGTCAGGTTGTGACAACTTACAGCAGCAAATTTTCCTAGTGCCTAGTCCAAGCAGAGGCATTGAAGAATCCCCAAGACTCAGCTGTTTATGAGCTGAGGAACTGCTGCGGCCCTGGGATAAAGAAAGACAGCTCTGGGGCCTCCTTTTTCCACACACCACTGAGCTTCTCCACCAACCATGGCTGCAAAAGAGAAAGAGAAATGTAAAAGTACTTCAAGGAGCTGGGGAATGAACTATGCTTCTCACCTTTCCCAAATGTCTCATTTAACGTTAATTATGGAAATTAGATTGTGTTGTTTGCAGCTGTTCTCAAGTTAGGTTTCCTTGTCCTTAGCCTTGTATCCTTCTAGGCACTTCCCCCAAATAGCACCAGCATATCACAGAGGGCAGGGCTTTGACAATTTCTCTTCCTTGGGTTTTATAGGCAGAAGCTTAGAGAAGGGCTGTGTTGCAGAAGTCCATTAGTAAGTCAATCCCTTCCGTGGTGAGCCTCCCAGTCAAACTCACAAATGGTTAATCAATGCACATGTGACTTAAATATGGATATTTTCAACAGCAGGGTTGTGATTCCTCACCCAAAACACTTGGTGCCTAATGTTTCAAAAATCAGAATTGTTTAGGTCTTACAAATGCAATCCAATGTATGTAACTGTATGTGATGTAACACCACTAGTGGAGTCAGGAGTAGCACCCTGGAATCAAGACAGTAATTTTTCTGACTTGAAGCAGATGAATGGTCAGATTAAGTAGAATAAATAGGCTGCAAATAGCTATACAGTCTGTTCAGAAGGAGTTAGGACATCAAAGAAGTTTGCTGGAAACTTGCAAAAAGAAATTCAGTTTCTAATCCATATTGGATTTCAGAATTGCAGACAAGGGATTGTGAACCCATACTTTCATGTACGTATCAGTTGTGTAGTCCCGGGCAACTTCCCAATCTCATTGAGCCTCATTTTCTTCATCTGTAAAACGGAGTCAACAATAGTTACTTCATATTAAAGAGCCAATGCATGGAAAGCTTTGAGCAGTACCTGACATGTGGTAAGAGCTCCAGAAATGTCATCTCCACAGCTGCTGCTGCACAGGTCATCATTAGTATCATTTTTACTGTCTGCAACAGTAGGAGCTAGAAGGGACTGAGTGGTGGCAGAGAATCTCAGATATCTGGATTTGTTAATTCTCCACATTTTTCCAAAAATTGCATTGTCGTTAGGTAAATCACTTTTCAGGCATTCTGGATCAGCAAACACAAAACAGCTGCCATTTTGGGGAATGTCAGCTGCCCATTCACGATTACATACTACTCATTTATATGTATGAAGTGCCTGGGAGTCAGGGGCTTATAAATCATACTGGCAGTATATCAGTAATAGTTGCCCTTTGTTGAGCCCCTAAATGTGCCCAGCACTGCTCTGCACTAGACACTTAAAAGGTGTTATCTCAGCGATCATGGCCACAGCTCTATACGGAAGGCATTATTATCAAAGCACTTTGCCCAAGATCATGGGGCAGCTAGGGAATGGCAGCTCCAGGATTGACCCCTGTGCTGACTCCCAAGCCCATTTGCTTTCCCCACACTGCCTCTGTTGAGAGGTCTGAGATTTGACCACTTGGTCAACACAAAATGAGGGCAAATCTAACAGAGATAAACAACATCACCCAAAGACTACAAACATACATGCACACACACAGACACACACAGGCACAGCACTATGCTGAGACACATGGAAGAACAAACAACCCACACTAATTCTCCTGGTTTTGAGAAATATTAAATATAGTGTGTGTGTGTGTGTGTGTGTGTGTGTGTGTGTGTGTGTGGCGGGGGGGGTCTTTGGGAATGGGGGTAGGGAGGCTGATTATTCTTACGAAATTTCATTATGGTTTAATTATTTTTTTCATGAGATAAGCCCAGAAGGCCTTTGTTTCAAATATTATTTCTAATTATTCATGGCTTATGAATGCAATCACAAATAAGGGTGAGAAGGTAGGTTTATTATTTAATCAACTGCATAAAAATGATGTACTATTCAAATTTAAAAGGAAAAAAAGTCATAATTAAAGCCCTAGTCATATAATGAGGTCTCTTTGGCTATATCTATTCTCCAGTTGCTCAAACTTTTAAAGAATAAAGTAACTTCCAGAATCACAACCTGACATGGGTAGGGCAGACATTGGGGTCCAATCAGGGGGCTTCTGAGAGCCATGCCCCTCTGGAGAAAATTTGAGGTCAGATAGCTCAAACTCCCAGCCTTTGCAGTGAGCCTGATATGGTTTGGCTCTGTGTCCCCACCCAAATCTCATCTCGAATTGTAATCCCCATGTGTTGGAGGAGAAGCCCCTCACTCCCCACCCCTGTCGTGCTCCAACATGTAAAGATGTGCTTGCTTTCTCTTCGCCCTCCGCCATGATTGGAATTTTCCTGAGGCCTGCCTCCCCAGCCATGTAGAACTGAGTCAATTAAACCCCTTTTCTTTATAAATTTCCCAGTCTCAGGTAGTTCTTTATAGCAGTGTGATAATGGACTAATACAGAGCCTTTTGAAACCCAGCCAGCAGACCAGCACTTAGCTTCTGCATGTACACTTTGACAGGTGGGGAACTCACTACTCTGTCAGAGAGATTGTTCCTTTACTGGACAGCCCAATAGGTCAGAAAGCACAAACTTGTGCTAAAGTGAAAAGCTGAAATCAAGTTAATCTGCAGCTTTCATCCTTCAGCCCTAGCTGTATCCTCTGCAACAATCAGACTCAGTCTACTTACCTGCCATCAAATATAAGAACACAGAGACCTTATATACAAACATGCACACACATATTTCTCTTAATCTGGGCTAAATAACCTGGTTTGTTTTCAGCTGTCTCTTATGTGGAATGATTTCTAGACCTCTTGCCACCCCTCTATTCACCTACTTCTGGGTGCTTTCTCTAAAGCAGTGCTTCTCATACTTGCTGCATAATAAAAATCACCCTGAGAGCTTTTACAAACCATGATGCCTAGCTCAGGCTCCATATCAATTAGATCAGAATCTCAGAAGGTGGGCCCAAGTCGTAAGTATTTTTTAAATCTTTCCAAGGGATTCAAATATGTAGCCAAATTTGAGAACCAGAGTTCTAATCCCTTCCTACTCAAAGAGTGGTCTGCAGACCAATAGCATGGCATAACCGGGAAGCTTAGTTAGAAATAAATGATCTTAGGCCAGCCTGGTCTTGCAGAATGGCAATTTGCATTTTACACGATACACCGGGATTATCATGCATATTGCAGTGTGAGCAGACAGGCTGTAAGGTACATTCTCTCTCAGTCCTGTTTAGATATACTGTTTTCTTAGATCTTGTGCTCACTTACTTCATCCTCAAATAAGGCAAGGTCTAATCTGACTTAAGGTTTACTACAGAATGTTGGGACTTCCCTTAACCCACTTTCCTAAGCTAAGGTCCACCGCTATATTCTCGAGGTTCTGTAGTTACATAACAATGTTTTAAATTGTGGATTTTAACTTTGATAGAAGATCTAAAATATTAATATCAGTGTAAGAATTTTAGAAACCATCTGGATGACCCCCTATAACTGGGCACTGCTTTGTGATTTTAGTGCCCATTCTGGCTTTTGTGTTTGCGGCAACACTGCTGCCAATTAGAAATATTTTAAATATCTCAGGCTAATGAGAAAATAACAGAAATCAGCATAGGATGTGGAGCCAGGATTGAAATCCAGATCTGTGACTCTCCAGTCCGTGCTTTTTTTTGGCAGCCTATGCTCTTAAGCACAGTGCCGCACCAGACACCAAGCTGAAGGACCTGTAGTCCACTAGCCACCTTACTAGCTTCTTCACACTCTTCCCTGGGATTAAGCCTGGCCACCAGAATGGTGCCTGCTTGAACCACATTGCCTTTGCTCCATCAAAGTCACTTTTGGTGTGCTCATATTGTTATGAGAAAGAACTATGTAACACCAGCCTTGTTTTTGCTGTTTTCACCCTGGAAAGCCATAGGATAAACTTAACATTTCCCACCATAAAATACTTTATTTCCTTTGAATAAATAGTAGCATCTTTCATTAGAAATATATCAATTGTGTAACTCAGTGTTTCTCAAACTGGAACCAAATGACAAATTTTCAGGGATCTTGAAGTTTTATAAAAATTATTTAGTTTTATATTTTCATTTATTATTACAAAAGTATCACTTTCATCTAGTGGCCACCTTGTAACTAAATGCTAATATAACTTTCAGAACTTGCATTTTTATACAAGAGCTTTGGTACCAAGTAAAGGGCAAATGCTATCATGAAAGACCAAGAGAAAAGAGAGTCATTCAAAGAGGGGAAGAGAGGTAAGAGGACCAAGATGACATGCGGCCTTTGTTCTATAGGCATGGCAAGTTCTCAAGAGCCTGTGGCATAGCAGACAGACCAACTTATATTGCAAAACGATGTACTTACCAAGTCATTACATTAATGGTAGTTTAAATACGTAAAGATGAATTTCTCTTTTTTTTTTTTTTGAGATGGAGTCTTGAGTCTTACTCTGTTGCCAGGCTAGAGTGCTGTGGTGCAATCTCAGCTCACTGCAACCTCCCACTCCCTGGTTCAAGCAATTCTCCTTCCTCAGCCTCCCAAGTAGCTGGGAATACAGGCACATGCCACCACACTCAGTTAATTTTTGTATTTTTCACAGAGACAGGTTTTCACCATGTTAACCAGAATGGTCTCAATCTCCTGACCTCGTGTTCCACTCGCCTCAGCCTCTCAAAGTGCTGGGATTACAGGCATGAGCCACGGCACCTGGCCTAATTGGTATTTTTATATTTCAATGTTGTGTTTAGGGATATGAAATTTACTGTTTCATCAAAATAAATCAATGATCATCTAAGATCTAGTTCCCTGTCATAAATGAAAAATAGTGACAATAAATGACCAGGACCCAAATGATAGTGTGTTATGCTAAAAAGAAAAAAAAAAGACATGAAGGAAGGGGACTATAAAATAAAATTTATCTTTCCTACTATTCAATAATAAGATTTGAATTTTAGCAAAAACTATCTACCACATCATAGTTAAGATTATCAGCTCTTGATGCAGTTTTTCTCTTAAAATACGTATAGAGACACTCAAGAAAAAATGAAACTCACAGAACACTAGGGCTGATGACAAACCTATTTCCAAAATAATGGGGGAATTTCTGTCAAGTGCAACCACAAAGTCATTGACACGTCAGTGGACAATGTATTCCATGCTCTAGTCTATGCTATACAGCTGGACATAGAACTTGCCTTCTGGCTATCTGCCCATTGGTTCAGTTATGTGAGATCTCCCTAATGAAAAAACTGGGTGCTTGTCCCTCTACTCTATGGATCGACTTTTTAATATAGCCAGAATACCATTTTCCCCACAGCCCATTCATAAGGCTCTTCTTTATTCAGTTAGAGAGTACAACTACCAGAGAATATCTGGACAGGAGGTATACATATGTATATAGGTGGGTTGGGTGATAAATGCAAGTCATACCTTGTATTCTGGGAGGACTAGGTTTCACTAATACATTGGTGTAGGTAACTGTTTTTCAAACTGTGGGCTGGGACCTGTTATTGATATGTAAAATTTGTTTGGTTGTCATGTCTTATTTAAAAAAATTAAAATTAGAAAAAGAAAAGATACAGTACATCTCACATAGTAAAAGTGAATACTGCTATATAAGTCTTGTGTGTGTGTGTGTGTGTGTGTGTGTGTTCATGTTCTAGATCGCCACGGAAAAATGTGTCTCCTATGAACCCTGCTTCTGTCAGCGAACATATTATCATTTATGGCAGCTTTGTTTTATCTGAAAATTTGGTGACCATGTATGTGTTCTATGTTGAGAGTGTGGTATAATGATTGTGAGGACAGACTCTGGAACCAGGTCAACATCATGCTAGCCTTGTGACCCAGGCAGGGCACTTTATTTTGCATCTTAGTGTTTCCATAGCTTTATCAGTGATGATTATAATAACACTTAATCATAAAGCTGTTGTGCGAATTACATGAGGGAATACATGTAAAACAATTGGAACTGTGCTTGGCTTGCAGTAAGTGCTAGATAAGTATTAGCTATTATTAATATAATCATGATTACTTCCGCAAGTCAAAGGAATTGCATATGATAGTACAGCCAAGTGCAGAACTCCATGATAGACCTCGCTCCATTGTTACACTGATCCATTAATCATCACGTAGTGGCTTCATCAGCCAGGAATTCACTTACCTGTACTTCTATTCAGTTTTCATTTCTCTGTCTTCAAGATGCCAGAGGAGAACATGACATCCCATTCTGCTCCCAGTAAACCCCAAGGTCTTCACTATGACTGAGCAACATTATGTGTCCCTTCCTCTCATCTCCTGCCATTGTTCTTTCCTCCTCTCTCCTTTCACTATCTTCCTGGCACGATCAGCTGTAGTCCTGCTGGCCTCCTTGCCACATTTCAAACACTAACATTTGTACTCTGGGACCTTTGCATTTGCTGTTCCTTCCATCTGGGATACTCTACCCAGATAGCCACATGACTTTCTCCCTTTCTTCCTTCAAGTCTCTGCTCATAGTCACTTTATTAGAGAGGCCTGCCCTGATTATCTTATATTAAATAATATCCCCCATCCCATCTCAGGCCCCACTGGCCAAGTATTCTCTAACCCCCAGCAATGACATCAGCAGATACATTATATTATTTACTTGATTGTTTTCTCTCTTTCCCACTAGAATGTCAGCTCCAAGAAACATGGGTTTTTAACTGTTTTGTCCACTGCTGTTTCCCCAGTGCCTAGAGAAGTGCCTGGCATGGAGTAGCAGATAGCAGCTATTTGACAAATATTTGTTGAATGAATAAATATCAAACACTGCAGAAAACCAGATGTATTACATCTATAACAATCTCCCGATCAAATGAGTCTAATAACAGACTTTGAAAACTCTTTTTAAATAGATGATTAAGGCATTAAGTTTAGTTTAGCATGACTTGCTCTCAGTGAACAAAAATTTTACACATAATAAAACATCTTTATTATTTTGTACAACAAAGTATATGAAGCCCTATTAAACACTACCCTGCTGCATTTGTAGATTTTGCTGCAGCCTCTGGCTCTGTCACAAGAAATCAGCTCTGGACAAATAGCCTTTCATCATCACTGATAGGCGTCTCTTAGTTCTGCTTCAACAGGTTCTCACCAGCACCCCAGATGAAATAAAGGTAGGAATTGCCAGTTCTTTGACCATGAGTGAAGCAAGGGCATACCTTAGTCCTGCTTCTATTCAACTTTTATCTTAATGACACACTTAATCTGGAAATCAGATTATAGGGCATTTCATTATCTCTGCACAAATTCTAAATTGCTGCTGTGTACAAGTAATAAACTAAGTTTTTGGCCTGCTATTATTATTCTGTTTATTTACTGTGTTGGCTGTCCCTAGTGACTTTTCTCCTTGTATACTTGTGTTCTCCTCCCATTCTCTGTCATTTTTAAAAAGTAAGGTAATCCTGGGCTCTGATCTGTCCTGCCGAGGTATTATTGGATAATGTTCCAGTTTGTTACTTGATAACAGAGTCCTAGAAATATTTGTAATAAATACTGCTGATAATCTTTGTTTACATTTTTAACATAAAATCAATAAAGTACAGTATAAGCAGTCATGAAACTTTTTCCTTTATAGTAAATATTTTATAAATACATGTCTTACTTTTGTTCTATAAAATCCAAGATAACAATCTAATATCAAAATTTCAAAAGCTATCTTGTGCAGTATTTTTCCTCCCTCAAGTGACCCTAGAAACATCTATCCCTGTGGTTGCCAATATTTTATTAAAACTTATAACCATTATAACCCTGGAATTTTTTCTTAATTTTTATGTAATTTTTTGTCCTCTTACAAGTTACCTTAATTCCTTTGTGAAATGAGGTATAATATAAATACATACAAAAATACTCACCCAGGAGCCCAAATATATATCTGCATAGAATAATTCACTTAAGGAATCATCATGAAATATTAATTATCCAAAAAAATTGATGATTGGGAGAGGGACAAATGACAATTTGATGGGCTCCATATTGTCAGTCAATTGATTGATACTGGGTATATAAATAGCTAGGTATTTATTTTAACTAAGCACTTTCCTGGAAATGACATGCTAAGATAGTAAAGGCCAAAGTTACTAAAGCCATAGGAGCCAGACTGAAGTTCTCTTGCACCAAAAGGGGCCAATTAATCGATCTTTCTCTAAAATTCTTCCATACTGTAATTCAGTGACCCAAATTCTATCTGCATAAAGGAATGGGGCTGCGATAATGAACAGAGTGCAAACCTGGAAACATTACAAAAGAGTTTTCTAAAAGCACTCTTATATTTACCCTCACCCTCACCTCTCCAGTACCTTGCAAACATTAATGTGGTCATTTTGGACTCACATCAGAATCTGTATTTGTGAGACCATAATAAAATACCTAAAGAAACTGTCATTTTTTCCCCCTGAGAACTAGATAACAAATTTATGTTGGGCTCAGCCTCATAATGGGGAGAACAAATTTCATAAATAATTTGTATTGTGTCAATATTATTCCTTTTGATGTACAGGGTTGAACTAGGCACTGGCCTATTGGTTTAATCACTTTATGGAATCTTTACAATGCATAGTGACCCACGCAGTAGGGATACAAGATGAATATGACATGGTCCCTGTCCTCAAAGAGATAAAAATCCATTTGAAGCAGAGTGAGGTAGAGAAACAAACACTTAAGCAACTTTGACTAGTCTACAATGTGATCAGTGCTAGAACAAAGATTAAACAGTGTACTTTGGGGATCCCAGAAGACAAGGATCCAGATGAATTATTGCTGGGCAGAGAAGGAGGAAAAGGCACTCACGGGAGGGAGCAGTGTGAACAAACTCCAGGGATGTGAGCCGATGAAGTAATATGCAAAAGGGACATGGTAAGGGATGGAGCATAAAAATCAGCTGGGATCAGATCTCCAAGGACCACCAATGCCTTGCAAAGGACTCTGGGCTTTACCATAGAGGTTATAGGGAACAACTGAAGGGTTTAAACAGGAATTTCATAAGATTATGTCAGCAGGTAGCAGATAACACATGTTTGGAGGCAGGAAGTTATTAAGAGAAGTCTATAAGATGCAGAGATCCTTACCTTCTGCCACATATTATAAAGCAGGGAGTTTACTTTTTAATAGTCTATATGCTGACCCATCCCAGAACATTTGAAACCAGTATCTGAAGGTGATCTCAGACATCAGGATGTTTTCAAAGTTCCCCCAGATGATTCTATTTAGCAGCCAGCATTGAAATGTCCTGAGCCTCTGGAAGGCAATAAGGGATGAGAGGTCCTTATATTAAAGTAGTGATGATGATGATGGAGAAAAAAAGAGAAAAGGAGGGAGGAGGCATATTAAAAAGAAATTTCTAATGTAGAATTTAAAAGGCTATACATGAGTGGATGTGGGGAAGAGAGAGGAGAAGGGAGATGAGTTATGTGTCTGGTTAGATGGGTGTCTTTCACTGCCAATATGGAGAACCGAGGAAGAGAAACAGGTTTTGTGAAAGACAAGCACAAGTCCACGCCTAGGTGTATGGGAAGTGAGGTCCTCATGGGACATGTAAGTGATGTCCATTGGACAACTGGATGTATAGACCTGGAGTTGAGATGAGAAGTGGAGGCAAAAAAAATATGGAAAACTATATTTGATCAGACACTCCATTTGATGGCCTGGCTATGTTAAAGGCATATTTCTTCCAGATTCAGATTCATATTGAGCACACACTGACTGAGTACTTATTGCATGCCCCAAACTGTTTTCATTCCCACATATAATTTCCCAGATAGTTGTGGGATGGTAAAAAGGAATCACTTGGAAAAACTTACCTTCCAGAAAAGCCTTTACAGAGTAGTTCTTAACTTTGCCTGCTCATTCGGCTGCAGGACTTTTAAAAACCCCAAATTCCCAAGCCACATGCCAGGCCAATTGAGTAAGAATCCTGGGTAGTGGGACCTTTGCAACAGTAGCTTCTAAAGCTCTCCCAGGTGTTTCAAATGTGCAGTGAAGGTGGAGAACCAGTCCTTTACAGCACTCTATTTCCAAGGCATGCTGACTTTCATGATTGAAGGCAGAACCAGCCAGAATCTCCTAGTCTGGGAAACACGTATATGTGGGCTAAGTCCATGGCTGTACACAAAGTCATCTGTTTCTGAATATAGCTCAAAAGTTTGGGGGCTAATTTTAACTACTTATGGGATTTTGCAGACATATATTTCAAGTGTCTATTTGCATTGAATTATTCAAACACTGAAGCATAAGCTATTGTAGACCCTAGTTCAAACAGCAAAGAATGATTATTCCTTTTAGGAAAAAATGCTATAATGTTGACAATTCTTACACTCAGAGACTTATTCTAACTTAGTTCTGTTCTGATCTTTACAATTTCTTCTAAAAATCACATTGAATCTACCCTTTGCTTTATAAGTCTTGCAATGGCCTTTGGCCAAAAGCAATACAATCCTGACCTGAAGATATATAATAAGGAATGCTTTGCTGTTCTTTCCCCAGAAATCTAATAAAAGCCATAGCACTGTGAGCAAAAGTCTTTATACTCTTTTCAAGATGCCAAATCAGTGGCATTTCCCCAGGTTGGTGGCAGTGGTTTTTAAAATGTAGAAAAACAAGCAGTGACAAGGAATTTTCCTCTCTCTGTATTCTCCCTCAGAAATAGTCTGTGCCTAGGTCCTCCTAAGTCTGCAGAAGGAAGGTATTTGTGAGATGCTTTCAATAAGCCTTCTCCAAACCATTTACCAAATTCAAAGCCATTAAGCCAGCAATGCTGAGTCCCAAGGGCAAGTAATACAAGTTACAGTTAATATTGGCTAAGCCCTCTTATAAGATGTTGGAGCTAAAATGGCCTTTTAAGATAATAAGGTCTAACCTTCTCCTTGCACACATGTCCAAATGAGGTACAGAGAAGGGCAAGGATTTGTCCAAAGTTACACAAGATCAGAACCCAATCTTCCTGGTGTTTCACTCCTTTTCTTTCTATTTGGCTGTAGTTGAAACCCAGACATCCAGAAAGATAATGAGGCCTAGCTCTAGAAAACAGATAATCTTCAAAACCTGAAATCTCTTCCATGCCTGTGATGATGATGATAATGGTCACTGCTGAGTGTGAAGCAAAGGATTCTGGGGTAGGTCCTCAGGCTTCCAGCCATAATTCTAGTGCTGCTTCCTTTAAAGCTTGGACAGAAACTCAGGTGTCAACATGTGAAGTAACCTACTTCCTAGATGGCCCCAAACTGATGGTCAGGCCCACTGTATTAATCTGTTTTCACACTGCTGATAAAGATATACCTGAGACTAGACAATTTCCAAAAGAAAGGTTGCACCTGCAGGTTCAACACCATGTGGAAGCTGCCAAGGGTTAGGGCTTCCACCTTCTGAAGCAACAGCCTGAACTGCACCTTTGCCCCTATTAGTCACAGCTGGAGCAGCCAGGATGCAGGGCACAGAGCAGAGGGACCCTGGGCCCAGCCCAGGAAACCATTTTTTCTTCCTAAACCTCCAGGCCTGTGATGGGAGGGTCTGCAGCAAAGGTCTCTGACATGCCCTGGAGACATTTTCCCCTTTGTCTTGGGGATTAACATTCGGCTCCTTGTTACTTATGCAAATTTCTGCAGCTGGCTTGAATTTCTTCTCAGAAAATGGGATGGATTTTCTTTTCTATTGCATTGTCAGGCTGCTTATTCTCTGAACTTTTATGCTCCACTTCCCTTATAAAACTTAATGCCTTTAACAGCACCCAAGTCACTTCTTGAATGCTTTTCTGCTTAGAAATTTGTTTTGCCAGATACCCTAAATCATCTTTCTCAAGTTCAAAGTTCCACAAATCTCTAGGGCAGGTGCAAAATGACACCAGTCTCTTTGCTAAAACATAACAAGAGTCACCTTTGCTCCAGTTCCCAACAAGTTCCTCATTTCCATCTGAGACCACCTCAACCTGGACTTTATCGTCCATAATAACTATCAGTATTTTGGTCAAAGCCATTCAACAAGTCTTTAGGGAATTCCAAACTTTCCCACATTTTCCTGTCTTCTTCTGAGCCCTCCAAACTGTTCCAACCTCTGCCCGTTACCCAGTTCTAAAGTCATTTCCACATTTTCAGGTATCTTTTCAGCAACACCCCACTCTACTGGTACCAATTTACTGTATTAGTCTGTTTTCATGTTTCTGTTAAAGACATACCTGAGACTGGACAATTTACAAAGGAAAGGTTTAATTGGACTTACAGTTCCACATAGCTGGGGAAGCCTTACAATCATGGCAGAAGGCAAAAGGCATGTCTCTCATGGTGGCAGAGAAGAAAAGAGAGGTTGTGCAGGGAAATTCCTGTTTTAAAAACTATCAGATCTCATGAGACCCATTCACTATCACGAGAACAGCATGGGAAAGACCCGTCCCCATGATTTAATTATCTGTCACTGGGTCCCTCCCACAATATGTGGGAAATTATGGGAGCTAGAAGGTGAGATTTGGGTGGTGACACAGAGCCCAACCATATCATCCACTCTGCTGTTCTCATCACCTAATAGGCTGGAGACAGCACAGAAGAGAAGAAGCTGGAAGATCTGACACACATTACTCATATGATCCTGGGTGAGCCACTACCTCTCAGTGCCTCAGGTTCCCCCATCTGTTAAATGGGAATAATGATAGCACCTAATACATAGGATTTGAGAATCACACTAAAGCAGTGGGTCTCAACTGGTGGCAAATATGCTCCTCACCAGGGGACACTGAGCAATGTCTACAGACATTTTTGGTTGTTATTACTGAGGGGAGGGTGGTGCTACTGGCATCCAGTGAGTGAAGGTCAGGGATGACACTAAACATCCTAAAAGGCACACTACAGCCCCTCGAGTCTTCCAGTCCCAAATGTCAATAATTATGAGGTTGGGAAACCTTGCCCTAGTTAGATATGTATGTGGCATTGATCTCAAAGCCTAGAGCATGACAAAAATTCAATAAAGGATAGTTCCTTTTCTTTGGTAACTACAGACAAGCTCTTGGTGTTTGGGGGACTTGCTTACAGAAGCCAAACTCTGGTTTGCTGTACAGAAATTTTGTGTCTCAGTCTCAGTTTTGCTTCTCCACACAGGTGAAGATTAAAGTAGCTTTCCAAAACAAGGGTTGTAAAATACACCAACCAGATGTGTGCCTAAAAGGCCATATTGCGCCATGCAGAACCTAATTTTTGTCCAAAGAAATACCTATACTAGTTTGCAATCAGGTAATTCTTCTGCTTTGCCACCCAGTTTCTCAGTGCAAACATGGCTTTTCCTCCAGATTTAGATGCAAGCCTCTGAAAACCTGGCTGCAAAAGAAAAGAGTACCTAGAAACTGGGGAGAGATGGGCGGAGGAAATCTTTTTCTACATAAAACATACTTGAAGGCCGACTCCATAGAGTTTCTCTATATAAAGTTCTTACCCCACTATCTCGGATTAAATACTGCAGTTGAAGCTAGAAACTTCTGTTCGACTTGTTGTGAGCCACTGGTATCAATTTTGTATTTCTGTCTATGGGGGGGTGTGTGTGTGTCTATGTGTGCATGTGCACACATGTGTGCAAGCACATGACAAAAGCAACAGGTCTTAATAATTCTAGTATGAAGCCTATTATTTAGAACTGGCAAGCAGTGCTCATCTTCACTTTCCACTATAGTAGGGAATTTTTCTAGGTATGTGGAAGGCAGGCTGCTTGGAGTTATTATAATGCTTGTTCCTGGCATGATCTCCTTCATTAAATAATCTTTTAATGCAACATTAATAGCAATTACAAGATTATGGTTCAAAATGTTTGATAACAGCCCACTATGGAGCTGAAATGTTACTGTTCTTTTCTCTAAAGAAGTCAGTGGGAAGAAGGCCTCCTGCTCAGTGCCCCTAATATAGTACCCAGATGTAGAGGAATGCAAACTCTTTGCTATTCCTCTTGAAAAAGTAGACTGCCTAAGCTCTAGGAAATATAATATATGGATGGGGCAGTAGCCAAACCACCATGTCTGTTTCAAGAAAACAGTCACACACACGAACTCATGGACATAAATAATTCTCTCCCTTTTCCCTATCTCCATGCCCACTCTACTCAACTTAAACCTTTATATTTAAAAATAGATTTAAATTTTTTAAAGGAAGTTATTCCATACTGTCCTAAGAATGATTATTTTCTCTTTCAAAAGGCACAATTTTTTGAGGAAATTAGCATAACTCAGTGAACTCAGTGCATATCTATTGTGTTCCATAACTTCTTTGTTAGTGGTTTATGCATTTGTGAGAAAAATCAAATGAGCAGGTGATCATTTAATTTTGCTGAAAATGAACTAGAAGAGGAAGAACCTCACAACACTACCAGCAGTTTGATTTCTCCTCTCTCCTTGCGCTGTAGGCATTGTTGTACTTAAAGCCCTGGGCTGCACCTGTAGCTTGCCAACCCCTTGGAGTGGCCAGCTGCTGGTGTGACCACTGCCAAGACCTCACTCCTAAAGACAGATGAACTCTACACCCATCCTCATGTCTATTTCTGGAAGGAAAACAATATATCCTTTTATTTCCTTCTGGCCTATTCTTGCCCAGAGGCATTTCTTAGCCCAGGACTCACAGGAGTCCTGGGTCCTCATTTGAGGAGTGTAGAGATGAATCTTTCCTCATGTACCAAATGGATGGAAATTCAATGGGTCCTGCCCACACTGAATAAGGGATCAGGGAAGCAAAGTATCTGATACCCAACAAGGGAACTCCTCTGCTATAAAGTGATGGGGGAGCAGCTACTTAGGAATGATTGGCTCCAGCACAGCTGGGTAGGAAAGACAAATACTGTGCCAACCATCATTTTGCCTCTAACAAAATGTTACAGGCAAGATTGTTAGATTGAATCTAACAATCTCCATTAGTGCATCTCTTTTTGGAGAGATTTGAGTCCACTCAGGGAACTTCAAGTGAACAATATCCTGGATGGTGCCTGTGATCTATGCCAGTTTCCCTGTCAGAATGCAAACCTTTCATTTCACACTGTCAACACAAGTCGTGTGGCTGCCGAAGGACACCTGAACTCTGCCAGTGGCTACTGTTTCCCAGATGCATTGCCATAAACAATTCTGAACTCCATCCAAGTATAATTAATCAACTGGGCCATTTTAATGCTTCCTCCATATCTTAAAGTTTCTTACAGATGAAGATACAGTTTCCCAAATGAAGGCTCATTATATTGAGCAGTCCAAATCCCACAAACAGAAGTCATAGATACTAGGCTTTATTCATTTTATTAAACTGTGTTCAAAGAAACAGGATTGGGCTGGGTGCAGTGGCTCACACCTATAATCCCAGCATTTTGGGACGCCAAGGCGGTGCATCATTTGAGGTCAGGAGTTCAAGACCAGCCTGACCCACATGGTGAAACCCCGTCTCTACTAAAAAAAAAAATTAGCCAGGTGTAATGTCGCATACCTGTAATCCCAGCTACTTGGGAGGCCGAGGCAGGATAATTGCTTGAACCCCAGAGGCAGAGGTTGCAGTGAGCCGAGATTGCATGCCACTGCATTCCGGCCTGGGTAACGGGGAAAACTCCACCTCAGGGAAAAAAAAAAAAAAGAAAAAAAGAAAAGAAACAGGATCTTTATTGGGCTCATTAATGTATTTTGTTCTCCTCAATGTTCACAAGTTGATCTCGATTTAACATCAGGTTAAAGTAAAGAGGTATCATAGACATGAATGGTCTGGATCCAAGAAGAATTGAAACTCCTAAAAATGACTCCGAACATAAATTTCAACATAACCACGATAGTGTGTCTGAAGCATTTGTGTATGCAGGTATGTGTGTGTGTCACTAATCTACTCTTACTAGACTCAGACATACAAAAAGTACCTTATTTCTCTATAGTTTATCAAAACATCCACATGATCTTGGCAACCCCCACACTCTTGGATATATTAGGAAAAATGTCTTGCAGTTGAGTAAACCCGGTCCAATTCAATGTCTTCTGCTTTTAATGGTCTTTTTTCAATTCAGTCTCTGTTGGATAAATGTTTTCTTTTTCAGAGTTTCTCCTCCTCTCCTTCTCTTCTTCAAGGTGGTCTGCAGGTATTAGCTGGGCATGGTGCTCACGCCTGTAATCCCAGCACTTTGGGGGGCCGAGGTGGGCAGATCACGAGGTCAGGAGATGGAGACCATCCTGCTAACGCAGTGAAACCCCGTCTCTACTAAAAATACAAAAAAAATTAGCTGGGCGTTGTGGCGGGTGCCTGTAGTCCCAGCTACTCGGGAGACTGAGGCAGGAGAATGGCGTGAACCCAGGAGGTGGAGCTTGCAATGAGCAGAGATCCAGCCACTGCACTCCAGCCTGGGCAACAGGGCGAGACTCCATCACACACACACACACACACACACACACACACACACACACACACACACACACACAAAAGGTGGTCTGCAGGTATACAAGGGGGCCGAGGCTTATGTGATCTTAGGTATATTTGTTTTCTATGCTGCATAACAAATTATCACAACCTTTGTGGCTTAAAACAACACATATGTATTAAAGTTTCTGTGGATCAGAGAGCTGGGCACAGCTTAACTTGGCCTTCTGCTCAGGGTCTCACAAGGCTATAAATGAGGGTACTGAGCAAGACTGGGTTCTAATCTGTAGGTTCCACTGGGGAAAGATCCACTTTTAAGGTCACTCAGGTTGTTGACATTAATTCATTTCTCTGTGGCAGTAGGGTTCATGACAGCTTGCTTCTTCAAAGCCAGCAACAGAAAATAAGAGACTCTTGAGACAGTTTGCTAACAAGACAGAGTGTTGTATAATATAACATAATCACAGGAGTGAGATCCCTTCATATTTGACATATGACATAATGTGATCATGGGAATAAACACCCCATCCCCTTTGGCACATTCTATTGGTTGAAAGCAAGCCACAGGTACGGCCCATAATCAACTAGAGGAGATGACACAAGGTTGTGACCACCAGCAGCTGGGAATCATAGAAGGCCACCTTAGAATCTGCTCTAAGGTGGCAGAGGAGATAGTGTCTCTGAGTCCACATGATGTTTCCTAGATCCTAGCTAGTGTCTGTAACAGAACAGCTATGATAGTTCCCATTTATCTGCTGGGGTTATGTTCCATGACCCCCAGTTGATGCCTGAAACTGCAGATAGTATAAAATCCAATACATAATACATTTTATGCATATATACCTACGATAACATTTCATTTATAAATTAGGCACACTAAGAGATTAACAACAATAACTAATAATAAAGTAGAACAATTACAATAATATACTGTAATAAAAGTTATATGAATGTGGTCTCTCTCTCTCAAAATATTGTAATATTTTTAGACTGTGGTAGGTGGTGGCTAAGTTAAACCATAGAAAGTGAAACCATGGCTAAGGGAAGACTTCCGTGCTGTATTCTGCCCCCTGGACTAGTGACATCTAAGGTACAGTGAGTTCCATCTGACCTTTCAAGGCAACCAGCAGACACTCAGCACTAGGGTCCATAGTCTTAATCACTTTTCTTCAGACTGGAAGTCCTCATTCATAGAGACAATTTTGCTCCAACTACAGGCATTTTCAGCCCCTCCTCACTCCCTCATCAGGATATGTTGAATCTTCCAGTTTATCCAGTCCATGGGGATACTTGATCACTGCCTTCAGCACACATGGCCAGCTTCCTTACTTTGCTCTCCCGTATTATTATTACTTTTGAAGCATGCTGGATGTGGTCCTGTGCGGGCCTTTGCAAGAGTCCCAAGGCCAATCCAAAGTATGTCAAGAGCAGGGACAAGAAACATTCCAGCATGTGAATTCTTCCTTCTCCTTCCCTCTTCTCTCTTTTTTCCTTTACTAACTAGGAACAGAAAAAACTGTTTCAACTTTTTTTCTCACTTCCTGAGTTTTCTCTATTTTAAGAATATAGTAAACCTCCATGATCTAGGCAGCTATGCCCAGTTTGTCATATGTTAAATGAGAAATAAAAAAAAATTAGCAAATAATTTTATCTGTCAACAGAGTTGGTTTTTCAAGACAATGGTCTTTCTATGGTCTCAAAATAGTCAATTTTTAAGACTTACAGCTGATCAACAACCTCTTTGTTTGGGGCAGGTTTTGTCCTCTCCTCCCTTGGGGCAATAAGCCTTATGACTCAGTCTTGGAAATATAAAGTTGAAAGAGAAATGATTTAACAAAAAAAAAATAGAAATGCTTTCACAGAAATACACACACACACACGTGCATACATATCCAAGGGTTTAAATCGATAAACGTGCTTATTAGAGTAATTCCATCAAAGTTGACTTTAAAATGAAGTGGTAGAATCCCATTTTGCTGAAAATGTCTAGAACAGAGATCATCTAACTAGTGGGATACAGTGGTGGCCCTATATTCATTCCTTCAGTTCTCATATTGGTTGGGTGAGACCTGGGACAGCTGGAGCCCCCGGATCTGTAGCTTCCAATCATGAACAGACTCATGTGGTTATTCAAGGAGTTCAGATAGGCATTCTTGTTGCTGCATGGTATGAAAAAGTTTGAGATTCACTGCTCTGGCATGGTGTTGCTACAGAGCTCTAAATTAGCAGAATATTAAGCTTGGTAAAATCCACCTGTTCTTTTATAATTGATTTTGTAAGGATAGGCTGTAATTATATATAACCTGCTGCAGCATTTGATTTGTGGTTATTGGTAGAAATCTGTACTCTGTCATTTACTCTCTGTCTTGGTTTTCTTTGTTGGTAATTAGCAGCAGTAAGAGTGTGTGGAAACTATTTTTCCTCTATACAAAGCCAAGTGGACCGTATGATAACATTACCCAAGACACTGGCCTCATTGCTAGTGAGTTCTTACCAAACACATTAATTTGTCCCAAAAAGCAGACTTGTGGATCCAGATTGTCTGCAGTGGGCTGGGAATGGTGCCACTGGGGGTAATGTACTGGCAGTACTGATGTCTTATTGCATTCCATGGGAACTTCTCCCTTCTACCTCCACCACCCACCCTTGTGTTCTGTTTTTCTTGTTGTTGTTGTTGGTCTTCTTCACCTCCCTGACTATTTCCTAACCTTACAATGGGGCTGCTGAGTCCCAGTCTATCCAAGCAGGCCCATGGGGAAGCAGTACCATTATCTCAGCAGCAGCAGTGAACACTTTAGTAGTGACAGGATGACAACTCTTAGTTGTGATGAGAGAGCCTTGTGAGACTAGTCTTCAAGGAATGTAGTGCACACTGCAAACACTCTTACATATGCATTTTTTTAATCTGGAAACTGGATGTTTGGGAAAAGGCAGTATTTAAGGGGAAATTAAATTATTGAATTTGTGTGCACAACCATGTATGAAAAATAAAAACATTAACAATTCCTCCCACCAAAACACACACAAACATACGTGACCACACACACACAATAAAATTTGTGGCAGAAACATAAAGTAGTTTTGCTCATTTATAAACAGATTATAGCAAAGAATATAAATTGACTGGAGCATGGGGAGTCCTAACTCAATAACTTGACTCAATTCATCATGGCATGGCACTTGGTGCTGTCTATAAAACTCTTCATAATCTCACACACCCTAAATATAATAAAAAAACAAGATAGGGCTTTGACGAAAAGGAAAAAAAATCCATATCAAAGAAATCCAGCTGCCCAGATCCCAGGGAGCTCATAATCACAGTCTTTCATACAGGAAACAGTAGTCAGAGATTCAAGAAATAAAAGATAATTTATTTGGTATATACATAACACTGAGGATGAGGAATTCTTTCTGCATGAAAACCCAGCAGTGGCACCTCATTAAACAGGACCTAGACTTAATCTAACTTGGAATAGATAAAAAAGAAAGGATTCATATGAAGCTCTCCAGCCTGGGGGCTTAATCTCAGAGCCTCTGAGTATAATGAATGAATTAAGTAGGGCAAGTGATTAATAACAAAGAAGCAATCACTTATGCTTTTTTAAAAACTGAAATATTATTGAATTTAGAGTAACATGTTCATTGTGTATGGACAGAGTTGGGCTGGAACATTTTTAAAACCCTAGGAGAGACGGAGAAGGTGGGAGGGAGGGAGGGAGAGAGAGAGACTAGAAAAATCATAGACGGAAGCTGACTCTTAAAAGATAACATGAGTAATTTCCAATCTTTTTGGAGTACAGAACTTTATCTTGTTGTTATTTTACTTGATGTCCTACTTATCTCCTCTCTTAAAATATGTAGTATGTGTGTTGTTTTTTTTTTTAAGAAACACGGCCAATGAAAATTAGTTATGTAGCATGAACATGGTAAAAACCTTCACAATTTTCCACAATCTAGTTGGAGACACTTGGGGATATCAGGCAATGAAAGATGGAAATGTCTCTGCTAATACTGAGATAAAGAGCCATGATATTGGGAAAATAATTAGGAAGGTCATCTTAAAAGTGAAAATAAAAACAGTAACCCAATGAACATTATTTTGATGACTGTATGAGGGCAATTATCTTAGGGAAAAAATATCAGTTATTTGCATATCCATTTCTACATCAAATAACTAGTTAACTTATATTTTCTCTATATTAACTGGTTATATTTATAACAAAAAACATATATTTAAAACTCAAAACTTATCTGATCTCATTATTCATCTTTGGAGCCCCAGTAATTGAGTTCTAAACACATTTTTGTTGACTACATGGGTGAATAGATAATAAATAAGAGAATGAGTAAATGAATGAATGAAGAAATATGACTTCTGCAGGCATAATCTCCAAGCATTTGTCTTGTTGAGGTGGGTCACAACTATTTCAGTATGTCTTAATTTTTTCCACTAAGGTACCCCTGGCTATAGAAAAGCCTGACTGTGTTTTCCTATGGCTATACTGCCAACAAGCATGAATTGTTTTAGAAGTATCATATTTTGGCTTAAGTTTCCACACAAATTTTGCTTTCATCTATTTAACAAATATTTGTTGGGAGCCTTGTATATGGTAGGCACTGCCCCACTACCAAGGGTGCATCAGTAAACAAAATGAATACAATGTCTGCCTTCTTGGAATTAGCATTCTAGGAGCAAGAGAAACAAAGTTTCACACAACTCAGTAAAATAACAGCTGCACTAAGAGCTACATAGAGGAAAAGCAGAGTTCCACAAGACCTCCAATAGAAGGATTTGAACTAATGAGGGAAATTAGAGAAGGCATCATAAGGAAATAACTTTGAGCTGAGATCTTGAGAGTGAGTACCTGACTAAAGTAGGTGGGGAAAGAAGATTCTGAGCAAAGGTAATGTAGCATATTGATATGGTTTGGCTCTGTGTCCCCACCCAAATCTCATCTTGAATTGTAATCCCCACATATGGAGGGAGGGAAGTGATTGGATTATGGGGACAGTTTCCCCCATGCTGTTCTCAGGATAGTGAATGAATTCTCACAAGATCTGATGGTTTTATAGATGATAGTTTTTACTGCTTTCACACATGCTTTCTCTTGCCTGCCACCATGTAAGATGTGCCTTTTCCCCTTCTCTCATGATTGTAAGTTTCCTGAGGCCTCCTCAGCCATGCAGAACTGTGAGTCAATTAAACCTCTTTTCTTTATAAATTACCCAGTCTCGGTATTCTTCATAGTAGGATGAGAACAGACTAATACAAGCAATATAACTGGATCAGAGTGAGAAAGCAGAAAAGTGACACAAATGACAGAGGAGAAAGAGTTTGGGGAAGGATATTGGGAGCTTAAAGGATTGATGGAAAAGTTTTCAAATGAACAGGATTTAGAAAGCTTCAAAGAGCTAGGGAGTTGGAAGTCCAGGAAGAGTATCAGCATACAAATTGCCAAGTCTGGGTGCTACCCACTTGGATGAATCAACTTTAACCAATTTCTGCCTCTTTGTCCCTCTGCTCCAGTTCCTGGAGCATCCTAATGGTCTTGTTTTCAATATGAGCTTGCCCCCACCTAGGGCAGGACAGAGTGCCTGTCTGATGGTACCCCCAGACTATATCCAATGGGAAAGAAATTATTTCCTAAAAGAAAAGTGGAATGTAGTTAGGAAGAAAGAATGAATACTGAGCTGCTCCAAATCAACAATGCCCACTACAGGTTGGCAGAGACCAGGCCATGAAGGGTCTTGTGTGTCATAAAGGATGTTAGCCCTTATCCTAAGTGCAGTAAGGAACCTGCAGAGGCTGTTGGGCAGAAAGAAGGGAATAACATGATCAGGCTTACATTTCTAGAGGATCCTCTGGCTGATTTGTAAATAATGGATTAGAATGAGGCTACAGTGGAGGGCAGAGAGCAGCTAGGTCAGAGGCAATGGGGATTTGGCCTACAGTGGTAGCAGCAGGGCTGAGATATTGTTGGATTCAGAATATATTGTAGGTGGAGTCTATAATAAGAGTTGGGAATAGGTTTGAAATAAGGGATAGGGGAAAGGAGGTTTCAGGTTTGGTGTGCATGGTTAATCTGCAAAATATTGGTTTCATTTTAATAGGAAATTGTGCCCTAGTTTGGGAAGAGCCTCATGAGATACAACTTCCATGACTTAATCCTAAAAACTTATTCACTTGAAGTACTTCCTAAGGGAAACTTCCTAACTACTTCCTAAGGGAAAAATCTGTCTCTGCCTGTAGATACTATACAAGGAGGTAAAATATCTACAATTTTGAAGGCAGGTACCCAATTTCACATAAGAAAACAAGGTTTTGGTTAGATCCCTAAAGCATATGAATCTGCCCTCAACTAGCAACATAGAAATCCCTGGTTCCAGGCTTCCTCTGAGTGGACAATCTCAAGCTATCTGCTATTCTGTGCTTATTGGAAGCCCAACTGCAAGAAGTGATGGTTAGAGAATAGTAATATGGGCTGACGCCTCACTCGATTTCCCACAGGGCTGCGCAGGTTTCCCCTTTCTGCGAATGGACCACTGGAGGGGTTCAAAGATTCCAGTTCTAATATGGGAATGAGCCTCTTTGATCTCTTCCGGGGCTTTTTCGGCTTTCCTGGACCTCAGAGCTACAGAGATCCCTTTTTTGGAGGGATGACTCGAGATGAAGATGATGATGAGGAAGAAGAGGAAGAAGGGGGCTCATGGGGCTGTGGGAACCCAAGGTTCGATAATCCTCAGCATCCCGCCCCTCCCCGCCGCCCCCCCTCCGCCCCCACAACAAGGAATTTGGCTTTGACTTCAGCTTCAGCCCAGGAGGAGGGATACGTTTCCACGATAACTTCGGCTTTGATGACCTAGTACAAGATTTCAATAGCATCTTCAGCAATATGGGGGCCTGGACCTTGCCTTCCCATCCTCCTGAACTTCCAGGTTCTGAGTCAGAGACACCTGGTGAGAGACTGCGGGAGGGACAGGCACTTCGAGAATCAATGCTTAAGTATCCAGATAGTCACCAGCCCAGGATCTTTGAGGGGGTCTTGGAGAGTGATGCAAGAAGTGAATCCCCCAAACCAGCACCAGATTGAGGCTCCCAGAGACCATTTCATGGGTTTGATGACGTATGGCCTGTGGACCCCCATCCTAGAACCAGAGAGGACAATGATCTTGATTCCCGGGTTTCCCAGGAGCGTCTTGGCCCGGTTCTACAGCCCCAGCCCAGATCTACTTCAAGAGCATCTCTGTGACCAAAATCACTAAGCCAGATGGGATAGTGGAGGAGCGCTGGACTGTGGTGGACAGTGAGGGCCAGACAGAGACCGCAGTAACCCAACACGAAGCAGATAGCAGTCCTAGGATGATCCAAAATCACCAAGACCTCCAGCTCTGGATGATGCCTTCTCCATCCTGGACTTATTCCTAGGATGCTGGTTCCGGTCCCGGTAGCCTTGTTAACCCTCAGAGGCCTTCAAGTCCTTTCCACCTCTCACCCATTGCCCACCATCAATAAGCTTAGCTTCTCCTCTTGCCCCCTCAGGGTCTTGGCTATGTGGAATAGTGAATTGGGGGCATGTCAGTTTGTCACTCACCCAAACTGACCAATAAAACCTTTATTTATGCTAAAAAAGAGAATAATAATATGAATATTTATGACTAACATTTATTGAGTGCTTACTATATACATTTAAAGATCCAATGCATTATTTCATTCAATCCTTAGAAAACTATCAGTAGGTATTATATTTTTTCTCATGCTATAGATAAGAAGGCAGATGACCACAGAGGTTAAGAAGAAAACAAATGGGAAAAGTGGAATTTCTACCATTGTTGAATTATTATACATTCCAAGCATTTTGCCTAATCTCATGTAACACTTACCTCACAGGGTAGCTGTCAGGAGTACTAACTATCTCACATTTATTTACAGATGAGGAAACAAGGGCTTTGAGAGGAAATGTCATTTGCCTGAATGTATCCAGCTAGTAAATTGCTATAATAGGATTTGAATTTGGGTCTCTCCAACTCTGAATCTCATGTTTTACCCCAGGCTACTTCTCAAAACACTTCCATGTCTTGCCCATGGTCATGCAGCATTCCAACAGTATCGCTGTCTATCATCTACCAAGTAGTCACTATAAGTCATTCTCCATGTTGGGCACTGTGATAGTTTTGTATGTTGACTTGGCTAGGTTACAGTCCTCAATTAGTCAGTCAAACACTAACTCATGCATTCCATGAAGATGTATTGCAGATGTGACTAAAGTCCATAATCGTTTAACTTTAAGGAGATTAACCTAGATAATATAGGTGGACCTGATTCAATTAGGTGAAAGGCCTTAAGAGCAGAACTGAGGCTTTCCTGAAGAAGAAATTCTGCTGTCTATGGGCCATAGCTTCAGCCTATGCCCAAGGGTTCCAGGCCCTTCCTAACAGCCTGCCCTATTTATTCAGAATTGTCTAGCCAACTCCCACAGTTACGCAAACCAATTCCTTGCAGTGACTCTCTTAGTACATATCTCCTGCTGATTCTGGTCTCTGGTTAAATCTTCACTGATACAAGCATGTTACATGCGTTATCTCATTCATTCTTTTCAACAGTCTTAATAATAGGGTATTATCATTACCTCCATTTTACGGATGATGAAACAGAGGACCAGAAAAGTTAAGTAATTTCCCCAAAGTTGCACTGTTTATATATATTAGAGGCAGGATTCAACCCTACTCCTGAAACTTCAAACCCTGGCTTTTCAGCATTATGCCATGCCACATAGTGCAGCATACTTGGAAAATATGTACTCCATCCACTCTCTAAATTCATTCACTGTAAGAGTTGTAAAAAATACGCAGTGAATAACTTTAATTTAAATTCTATGTTTGGTAAATCGTAGATTTTTGAATGCACTGTTAAATTTCCTTGCCTAACACAAAATGGCTGGGTGGTTAAAGGAATTCCTTGTTAAAGAAGAAACATAATGACCATGATAACAATGATGACCCAAATGATGGTCCATCATGCAGAAAACCAAAAGATCAAGTCCACAAACAAGCAGAAAACAAAGGATGATAATACATCTTTTCTCTACTTGGCCCAACATTCAAAATTTAGTTTCAGCACATCATCATCTGTCCATTAAATTTATGTAATTATTTTGGATGTCATTGGTTTTGTAGTTTTGCTTTATATATATATATATATATGTGATATATATCATATATGATATGTGATATATATGTGATATATATCATATATGATATGTGATATATATATGTGATATATATCATATATGATATGTGATATATATGTGATATATATCATATATGATATGTGATATATATGTGATATATATCATATATGATATATGATATATGATATATGTGATATATATGATATATGATATATGATATATGTGATATAATATATGATATATATGTTATATATATAATATATAATATATATATTCAGTTTTGTAGTGGTCTAAGACCATAGACATGAGAAGTTTGTGTTCACTTTTATTTTTTCCATAGTATGATAACAGTATAGTAAAAGTAGGCTAACAGATAAGTTTTGTAGTAGTTTATTTTTCCCTTTAAAAGGCACTTTTCATTATTCGAGTTTGCAAAAACAACTGGTAGAACTGATGCCTCCCTTTTTCACTTTAGCTTCCAGGGAGCTCAGATGCAAATTTGAAATTCAACTATGACAATTCTGCTGATCTTTTTTTATCTAGGTACAAGTGTTGTTCTTTCTATAATCTTAATATTTTAAAATTTTGATTTATATTTCCCCCATATCTGATTCATGTATATATAAATGTTATAAATGGCCTTAAATCCTCTGCAGAATGAAGTGTGATATAAATATTTTAAAATTCTGATTGATAAATGATCATTTAATTCCTGTCAGTGAAAGTGGGAATGGACTATATACACAGAATATACCATCAAGTATGGGATAATAAAATGTCTGCCAGATAATCATGATTCACTGACCTATGCACTAATTCAAGGTGGTCACTTACATTGAAGTGACTAACAGCACTAGGCAATACTCCTCCTGACCAGTCTTTCTCTCCTAGGATTCAAACTAAAATGTCTAAATTTTCAAGAATAAAGGAACCCAAATCTCCATAAGGAGAGAGAGAAATTCTTGGGAACTGAGCAGTCCTCACAGTGCTGCTGCCCCACAGGTGGTGAGGACTTTGCATTTCAGCAGAAATGTTCTACAACAAGGTTGTTATCTAGTCACTCCAAACTGAGATTATCTTCTCAGTGAGTCTGTCTAGTCTGCTGAGTTAGATTACAAATTCTTCCACAGAAGTGTTCCTACTTTCTGATATCATCTCTGTGTACCTACTCTTGTTTTCTGATTCAATCTTGAGTCAGTGAATCCTATTGTTTACCGCACAATGATACAGGATGCAATTTGATGAGCTGTATCCCTGAGGAAGGTCAGAAAAAAATATAGATCTATTCTGCTGTATTTCCTATTCTAAATGATTCAGGTCAACATATATTCGTCACGTATGATCATGTGTCACTTGATGGGCCACGTTCTGAAAAATGTATCTTTAAGTGATTTCAGCATTGTGCAAACATCCTAGAGTGCATTTATGCAAACCTAGATGGTGTAGCCTACTATACACCCAGGCTACAAAGCTGTACAGTAGGTACTGTCCTGAATACTGTAGGCAACTGTAACAGTATAATAAATGTTTATTTAATCATATTCAAACATAGAAAAGATACAGTAAAATACAGTATTATAATCTTATGGGGCCACTGTCATATATATTGTCCATTATTGTCCAAAATGTCATTCTGCGGCACATAACTGTACTTAGTATTTGCCAAGCATTGTTCTAGGTACTACAGACTGCTTCTCAAGATTTAATGTGCATACAAATCACCTGCACATCCTTTAAATGTAGATTCTAATTCAAAAGTTCTGGGGTGGGACCTGAGATTTTTACATCGTTATTGAGCACCCAGGTGATGTCAATGCTGTTTAGCCTTGGATCACACTTTGAATAGCAAGGACATAAGGTATTAATAATACAGTACATTCCTTCCCTTCAAGATATTTAAAATTTAGTTGGATAAATTGTGGAAGTGGTTACGCATAAATACTTTCACATATATAATGTGCATCATTTGGGCAGCCTGTGATAGTAGAAAGATTTTGGGGAGACCCTGTTGTGATACTGAATAAATAAGTGAGTTAATGAGTGAGTGAGTGTGAGTATGTGTTGGCAGTTGGGGACTGAGAAAAAGGAAATATCATTGAGGGAGGTATGTGAGATAAACCTTGAAGGAGAGATAGAATTTTGAAGGTGAACACATAAGCACCAGCCAGGATAACAATATGAGTAAATAGTGCTTAACATCACTAATTATCAGGAAAATGCAAACCAAAATCACTATGAGATACCACTCCCCACCTGTTAGTATAGCTATTATCAAAAAGATAAGAGATAACAAGGGTTGCTGAGGGTGTGGAGAAAAAGAAACACTTGTACCCTGGTGGTGGGAATGTAGATTGGTTCAGCCATTATAAAAATATTACAGAGGTTCCTAAAGAAATTAAAAACAGAATTACCATATGATTATGGTAATTACCATAATCAATTATCAGCATCAATTGCCAGCAATCCCACTTCTGGGCATATACTCAAAAGAGATGAAATCACCACTTAATATAAGATATCTACACTCCCATGTCCATTGCAACATTATTCGTGATAGGCAAGATATGGAAACAGTTTAGATGTCCATCAATGGATGAATGGGTAAAGGAACTGTGTGTGTGTGTGTGTGTGTGTGTGTGTGTGTGTGTGTGTGTGTGTGTGTGTAATGAAATATTATTTGGCCTTAAAAAAGGAAGAGATCCTGCCATTTGCCACAACATGGCTGAATCTGGAGGACATTATGCTAAATGAAATAAGCCAGACACAGAAAGAAAAATCATATTGCACGATATCTCTTATATGTGGAATCTTTTTTTAAATAAAATGTCAAATATACAGAGACAGAATAAAAGTCTTTCTAGAGGGTCGTGGCAGGGTGGGGGGAAGAAATGGGGAGATGTCAGTTAAAGGGTACAAAATAAAAAAACATGTAGGATGAACAAGTTGAAAGATCGAATGTACAATATGAGGATTATAGCTAATAATAGTGTATTGTATTTGGGATTTTTCCTGAGTAGATTATAGCTGCTCTTGCCAGAGAGGAAAGAATGGGATGATAGATATGTTAATTTGTTCTCATATGGTAACCATTATACTATATATATAAAACATCATGCCATATACCTCAAATATACACAAAGCTTATTTTTCAAAAACAAAACAATATGAGCAAATATATGAAGGCAAGAGATAATACTAGTTGGATTTAAAAAAGAGCCAGCAGTCCCATTTGATTGGTACATAGGGAAAGTAATAGAAAATATAGCAGGAATTAGGAATCTAGGAAGAGATGGTAAAGGGCTTTGAAGGCCAGATAAAGAGTGACTTGTACTTATTTTGATAGTTAATAGGGAACCCTTAAAGGATTTAGAGCAGAGCAGTGATATTATGAGACCTGTTGTTTAGCTACGGCTATAGAATTAGAGCTGTGGTCCCTGGTCCAGCATCATCATTTTCACCTGAGTGCTTGTGAGACGTTCAGGCCTGCTGCAGACTTACTGAATTAGAAATTGTGGGGGTGGTGCCCAGCACTCACTTTGAATAAACCCTCCGGAGGTTTCAGATGCACTCTGAAGTGTGAGAACCACTGGGTTAGAACAATAGATCACAAGTTTGGCTGCACATTAGAATCACCTGGGAGCTTTAAAAAAAAAAAATAGCCTGATGCGCAAAGCCCCCTACTGTATTCATCAAATCAGAAATCTTGGGGATGAGATTTGGGTATTAGCAATTTTTAAAGCACCTCAGGTGATTTTAATGGAAAACCCAGGCAGCATATTACTGAATTGAAGATGCAACTTTGGTGAGGATTGAGCTGGAGAGACTGGTTAGAGAGGGTTGCAATAATTAACTGGGGCTGTGTCCTGGGACAGGAAAAAATGGATATGAAATATGTTCCAGAGCAAGCCCTATCATATAGGATTGGGCAACAGCCTGTATATGAAGTGAGAGAGAAGTCCAAGGGTTTCAAGGTTCAGAGAAGAAAGGGGGTTGGTGTCAAAGAATGCTGCCAGCTACGGAGATGATTAGAAAGATAATATTTATTTATTTGTTTTGTTTTGTTTTGTTTTTTTGAGATGGAGTCTCACTCTCTCACCCAGGCTGGAGTGCAGTGGCACGATCTCGGCTCACTGCAACCTCTGTCTCCTGCGTTCAAGTGATTCTCCTGCCTCAGCCTCCAGAGTAGCTGGGATTACAGGCATGTGCCACCACACCCAGCTAATTTTTGTATTTTTAGTAGAGACGGGGTTAGCCAGGCTGATCTCAAACTCCTGACCTCAAGTGTTCCACCCACCTTGGCCTCCGTAAGTGCTTGGATTACAGGTGTGAGCCATAGAAAGATAATATTTGATTGATTAGTTACAGTAATCAGAAAGATAAAATAGTAGGTTGAGAGCTACTAGGATTGTGGGAAGATTTTCTTGGGAGGGAGGATACCCTGAGGTATTTGGATACAGAAGGGAAAAATGTTGAAGATGAAACAGACTAACAGGACAAATAACAGAACCAGGTTTGGGAGGAGTTGGGCAGAGATAAGATCAAGGACACACAAAAAGGTGTTATTTGCAAGAAAAAAAGACACTACAGTTTGAGAACTAGAAATTAAGAGAAGGAAAACTATTTTGGTAACATTGTGAACAAGATATTCTAAATAGCCCTACTACTTCGAAAATTCTAAATGCTGTGGATGACTTATAACAATATATTTTACAATGCATTGCCGAGCTCAGAAGAAAGTAAGAAGAATTGAAGGTAGTGGGGGAGGGAAAAACAGAAGTTGGGGTAGGAGGTAGATAAAGAAGGAGGAACAAGCTGAAACCAGAACTGGGTAGTAAACAATATAAAAGTAAAGAAAACCCAGTGTGAAGATATTCATGCCAGTAACGTAGAGTTTTGGAAGTTGGAAATGAAATCCTAATCGTTGGGCCTAGGCAAATAAAGAAGCTGTACTTGAGATAATCAGGTACATCTGGCTCTCTTCAAGGTGCTACATTGTCAGTGAAAAATAGGCCAGAAACAAAATCTATCAGCCATTAGAGCAAGCCTACAAGGAAACTTTTCTTCACCACAGCTGCAGAAGGACATGAATTAATAATAATAGTAGGAATCTCTACTGCACCCCAAACCCAAAAATTTGTTTCCAGAGATCTCCTTTAGAAGAAACTGGGATTTAAATTTACTCAACCAGCATGGCTGAAAAACACCAAGCCTAGAAGTTATTCCAGTATAGTAGCATCCCTTTTGGCCAGCAAAAGGACATAAAATTATCTGTGAAAAAACCGTCCTCAACCCAGACCTATAAGAGCCCCACAAATTGTTTAGCCAAATAGAAGCACACAACACATAAGGAAACAAGTGTTTAATCACTAACCACATAAGGAAACAAGTTGCCATGAATAAGACTCAGAAGAAACAAGAAAGAACAGATTTAAACCTTTAAGAATTTTAAGTATTTGTTGCTGTTGTTGTTCTTGTTGTTGTTTTGAGACAGGGCCTCCCTCTATCGCCCAGGCTGGAGTACAGTGATCTCAGCTCACTGTAGCTTGGACCTCCTGGGCTCAAGCAATTCTCTGGCCTCAGCAACAGTCCCCTCCTCCCCATAGCTGGGACTATGGGTGTGTGCCACCACCTCCCAACCCCCTCCCCCGCCCCTGGCCAATGTTTTTTTTTTTTTGGTGGAGACAGGGATTTGCCATGTTGCACAGGCTGGTCTTGAACTCCTGGGCTCAAGTGATCCTCCAGCCTAGGCCTCCCCACGTGCTGGGATTACAAGTGTGAGCCACTGCACCCAACCAATAATTTTAACTGTTACGGATAAAAAAAAAAAATAGAATGCACAATAATCTGGATCTTCAAAGAAATAAAAGAAACAAAAATGGGCAGAAAACAAGAGATCATCAACAACGAACATAAATATTTGAGAATTAAAAATAGAAACAACTTAAATATAACCACTGATATTAAATCTTAATGGATGGCTTAAGCAACAAATTGAATACATATAGCTGAAGCCAGAAATGGTGAACTAAAATGTGTATCTAAGGAAATTACCTAGATTGGAGCACAGATAAAAATATGAAAGGAAAGCTAAAAGATATGGATTACAGTATGTGAAGGTTTAGCATAAGTCTAATCAGACTCCCAGAAGGGAAAACTGGAAAGAATAGAGGCAATATTTGAAGAAATAATGGTTGATAATTTTCCAGAACTAACAAATTCTAATTCACAGATTCCAAAAACACAACAATTCCTAAACAGAGAAAACAACAAAAACAAAGAGAAATCTATACCCAGAGACACCATAGGAAAACAAGAAAACCTTTAAGTAAGCCAGAGAAATACTAACTATGGAAGCCAGAGGAGAGTAGAATAAAAATTTCAATGTGCTAAAAAAAAAAATCCTATACTCAGAAAAAAGTGTACTATAAGAACAAAGGGGAAATAAAGATATTTAAAAGTAAACAAAAAATTCGTCACCAACAGAGCCTCACTGAAGGAAATTTTAAAAGATATACTTCAAGCAGAAGGACTGTAGTCACAGATAGAAGGTCTGACATGCAAGAAGTATTAAAAAAAGTAGTAGTAAATGTGTAGGCAAATATAATGACCACTGATTGTATAAAACCATAGTAATCCCAATTACCCTGACTTAATAATTATACATTGTATGCATGTATCAAAATATCACATGTACCCCATAAATATGTACAAGTATTATGTATCAATTTTTAAAAACTGTAGTAATGATATCTGGTGGGCTTAAAAAAACAGAAATAAAATTATTTAATAGTAATATAAGTAGGAAGGATGATAGAGTAAAACTGTCTTAAGCTCTTTGTACTCCCCAGGAGAAGGGTAAAGTTATTCCTTGCCATTAGTCTTTAATAAGTGTGCATAGTATAACTGAAAATAATAGAAGTAAAGTATATATATTTATAATTGAAATAACAAATAAAGCATATATAACTTCTAAACCAGTACAGGAAGGGGGATGGAATACAAACACATGTGATCACTCTAAAAGGCCACAATTAATGAAAGGAAAATTAAATAAAATAGCCAAGACTAATTGAAAATATAAGAACAGTAGATTTAAATAGGTCATTAATTACATTAAGTATAAGTAAACTAAATGTTCCAGTTGAAAGACAAAGATTGTTTATCTGAATTTTTAAAAATCCGTTTACCTGCTAGCTATTAGAGACTCACCTAAAACACAGGGTAACAGAAAGGTTGAAGGTAACAGAAAGTGATAAACTTTATTATGCTGATACCACCTCAAAGAAAGCTGAAATTGTTTACTGATATTAGATAAAGTCAACTTTAAGGCAAAAAGTATACTAAGATAAAGTGGGTCACTTCTAACAAGTCAGGAGGAAAACAGGCAAAACATTTAACAGGCATTTCACAGAATAATAAACACGAATGGCCAATAAACATGGAAAGATGCCCACCCTCATTAGTAATAAGGGAAACACAGATTAGAAGGAATGGGGTATAGTTTTATACCACTGGATTGGCAAAAATTTTGAAGTCTGATGATACTAAGATCTAGTCAGGATGTAAAGCAAAGAGAATTATGTTCACTGCTGGTTAAAGTATTAATTAACATAGTTTTTTAAAAAAAGTTTCACATTGTCTTGAAAAGTTGAAGTTAAACAGGCCCTAAATGTCAGCAGTTTCTCTCCCAGGTATATACCTAAATAATCTTTTGCACATGTACATGAAGAGACAAGCTTAAGAATGTTCATTAGTAGCAAAAAGTGGGAAACAATCCAGATAGACATCAAAAGAAGAATGAATAAATTATGTTTCATTCATTCTATGAAATACTATTTATATGAGAATGAATGAACTGCAAAAATGCATCAACATGGATGAATTGCACAAACATAATGTTGAGTGAAAAAAGCAACTTGCAGAGGGAAAACAGGCAGTATGACACCATTCATATAATGCTCAAAAGCACTGACAATGTATTATTTAAGTATTGACACATATGTCAATCACATATGTGATAAAAGTATAACAGAAAACAATGAAAAAGAAGAAAAGATAAAATCAGAATAGTGTTTGCCCTCATGGGGATGAAGGAGGCATAAAATGAGGGTAGGGGTGGCACACAGGAAACTTCAGTGATGTTTGTAATCTTGGAGCCTTAAGCTTCAGGGTGGGTATATGCATGTTCATTACACTTTTCTTTATACTGAATATAAAAATTATATACAATAATAGACTGGATAAAGAAAATGTGGCACATATGCACCATAGAATACTATGCAGCCATAAAAAAGAATGAGTTCATGTCCTTTGCAGGGGCATGGATGAAGCTGGAAACCATCATTCTCAGCAAACTAACACAGGAACAGAAAACCAAACACCACATGTTCTCACTCATAAGTGGGAGTTGAACAATTAGAACATATGGGCACAGGGAGGAGAACATCACACACCAGGGCCTGTCAAGGGGCGGGGGCAAGGGGAGGGATAGCATTAGGAGAAATACCTAATGCAGATACGGGTTGACGGGTGCAGCAAACCACCATGGCACATGTATACCTATGTAACAAATCTGCACGTTCTGCACATGTATCCCAGAACTTAAGTATAATAATAATAAAAAAAAAGAAAACCACATGCCACAGGGCACTGGATACCCCCCAAAAAATTATTATATATATGTATGTATATTTATTTGTATGTGTTAAATATAATCCTAAAAGAGAGAAAGGTTAATTATGCAGAGAGGAAAGATGATCAGCTGTGCATGGTGAAGGCATTATGATGGGATTAGGGGCTAGAAGAGAATAATGGCACTTAGGGCAGCCACTGTGGGGAGTATGCTGGGAAATCATAATACATTTAGCTTTCCAAAATAATTCTGAAGAAGCACCTGGTGGGCCCTCTAAGTCATTACGCTGACAAAATAAGATTGTTCTTCTGCCACCCCTTCCTTTCCTTGACTCTACACCATAATAATAGTGATCATATTGTTAATAACAACTATTTGCAGAGTGCCCACTATGTGCCAGTAGGTATGTGTGTGTGTGTGTGTGTGTGTGTGTGCGTGCGTGCATGTGTGTGTGTATAATTGTCTTTATTTTACAGGTGAGAAAAATGAGGATGAGAGAGGTTTAATGTTTTGCCCAAGCTTACACATCTGCTAGTAGTAACTGGTAGTATTAATAGGAGCTAGGAGTAGAGCTGGAATTCCAACCCAGGTCTCTGTGACCTCAATGCTTGTGCACTCACTACTCTACTCTTTTCCTCTTCCCCACCATCACCCACGTCCCTTTATGCTGTTTCCATCCTATAATTTCTGCGCTTTTGTGGGATATATCCTGCTTTGGTTACTTCTAATCTGCCTGATAATTAGGATTGATAGATTGAATGCTCAGTACCATGAGGAAATAATACACTGGGATGCAACAGAATGCCCAGTTTTGATTTCTGTTTATGTTAGTGTTATCAATGGAAAAGAGTGAGAGAGGGAAAATACACATGTTAAGCTAGCAATCACAAAAATCAAGCATATACGCCAAAGTCCTCTAGGTTATTTTACATGACAAGCTATGGTATTAGTAATTCTTCATGAATGTATCTGTAATCTAGGTGCATAAACATTTGGGGGAAATGAAAATGACTGATGTGAACTTTTAAACACCATCCCATATTTAAGACACTACCATGGTCTGTATTATACAACAAGAAAGCTTTCTAACCTCAGCCCTGCCTCTGTTCCTAAATCTCCAAAAACTCTTTCTGTGTTTCTATGTGGCATAGGTAGCTGTATTTCCCTTATGTCTCATATACCTAACCTGTAGTGTAGTTTGAAACACACAAAGGTGTAATAACACTATTCTGGAGTCAAGCCATGCACTGCAGCCCAGACATGAAAGAGAACACTGGATAATAAATGACTCGTTGTGGTCCATCTTGTCTTTGGTTGAAAATAATCCTTCAATAAAGAAATAACAGGTGATACATGAGACACACACTTAACTAGGATTAAAATCTCTGTTTCCAGCAGATAAATTCTTAAAATGTTGTCGATAATCAGAGATAGAGTTAGCTGGTTGTTTCCTAAATGTCATCTTTAATAATAGAGCATCATAAGCTAGCATCATGTGTCTTTTGGTTTTCACATAATTTAGAATAAAGTTTGGAGCTGCAGAAAACTGACATCAGGGGATGACATGGGAAATACTGATTATTTTTCTGGCCAAGGAGTAATTTTGCTCCTGATTTTCTGTATTCCCATTCCAAAGTTGGAATGAATAAAGAAACAGAAAGAAAAGCCTTAATTGACAATATAATGCCCACAAGCATCAACAGATGTGATCCCTTGTAATGAAGCATGTGGGTCTAATTTGGCATCACTAACCACTTGGAGGATCTCCTTGCTGAGTTCTTGCAGGCTAGCCTTCTAAACCTATGTTTGGCTGGCACCTGTGCCCTGTTGAAACTGGCATACCACTCTATGGGTGGGCACAGTGCCACCCTAACAGATGGCCATAAGAGTCATCATGCCAGAGAACTACTATTGTTTATAGCAAGTTTAGCTTAACAGCAATTGGCACCTGCTAAAGAATGACAAAATGGTGGCCTACCTTTGTGAAAGATAAACTATGACCTAAAATGGGCATGTCTGAAATTGGTATTTCGGAGTCATTTCACATACTCAATGAAGACCTCTAAGAGAGGAAGTGGCACTGCAACAATGTTGTATCTGTACTAAGGTGCTAGCAAAAGGAGGTAACAACACTTTTCAAGGTTCTACAATAAATTCAACATCCTAGTCTCCTAGAGCCAATAAATAATTCAAATTCAACATCATTAGAAGTAAAAATTTAAAACATCAACCCTTGAATGAACTTTCTGCTTGGTCACCTACCTAAAGCTACTCTCATTGATAAGACTCACTTGTTTCATTATCAATGCCTAAGTGATTTGTGAACATTTTTTGAGGGAGAACATTTAATTTTAAAACTCACATATTTATAAATAATGGTTGAAAATGTCAGATATAACTAGACCCCCAAACTGGGAGGGAAACCATGATTATAGGATGGAGTATACAGAGGTTAGTAGTAGCTGAAGGACACAATGTCTAACCCCAATTAACACTAAAATTTGTGTAGGCCTGTTTAGAGTCATCTAAAGGGAAAATAAAAGGAAGCTTAACTTTTATGAGCACCTACTTTGTGTCAAGGACTGTGGGATATACTTTGCATCCAGTTCTTAACTTTTCACAATTCTGTATACATATATTTCAGATTCCACAGTTTATTTAAAGAACACTAGCTCCCCAAGAGCACAGTTCAGATTTCAGTTCTCACTGTATACTGTGAATAACTGCATTAAGTACAAACCTCACTGCTGGCTCTTCAGTCTACAAATCTACTATGTAATAACAATGTGCATCATGACTAGTGATCTATTTCATCACTTCTTTCAATGTCTGCCAGTGATTGGTCACTAATCATCTGTTATTCAGTTCATACACATATGGCAAGATGTGTAACTGTGTTGTCCCCTTGTCTCTCAGTGACACATCCATGACATTTTATGAAATAGATATATATCTATAAAAGTTATATTTTTTTCAGTATGTGACACAGCCTCTTAAATTAGAGTATTTCATTAAATACAATCAATAATTACAGCCTAGTATATGTGGTAATTTAGTATATGATAAAAATCACTTGGGAAAAGACAAAATAGTGTTTAATATATGATATCTGATCAACAAGATGGCAATTTTGAGAAAAATCAAGATTAGAAATATTTAATTCCAACTAACACTATTTTGTGTATGGCGTGAAATAAATGAATGATAACTGAAACAGGGAATTGGCCAAGAAAGACAAAGAGAAGCAATGAAACAATAAATAATAACACAGAAAGTGAAATTAGAATCAAACATAAACGGACCTATAGAATAACTATCTGACAATGGAAAGTATGACACTGCCATCAATCAAGAGACTCTAGATATGAAGCCAGAGGGAACTTCGTGAAGGTGAGCTAATCAACATAAATCAGGAAAGCCATTGTAAGAAAAGGATGGGGCGGTCCCTGAAGAAATGGCACTAGTGAAAATTTTCACATTAGAGAAACTCTTGGAGATATTTCACAATATTGACAGTGCAAATGATAAGATACTGAAGCTGATTCAAACTTGGAAAAGAGTATGACAACTCACCAAGGTATAGAAAAGATTCTTGATCCATACTGAAAGTTACTGTAAGACAAGGTGAACACTATTCACACTATTCCCGATACAACAATTTTTCACAAAGATATAAAACACTTTAATTTTCAATATTTCTAATGTTTTAGATTATAGTATATGAGTAAATATTAGTTTCATAATTTTATTGCATTCCCTTATACATTTATAACAAACAGTAAGAGTTTGTGATGACATTTTGACAAAATTTTTAAGACACAAAACAATAATTTTTCTCAATAATCAATGAGACCACCTTACATGTTTTCAGTTTACATGGTCATTTTTATGGAACTGCACTATTGTGCAAAGCATGAATTGCCTTACAGTATTTCATATGAAGCCCAGAAAAACCCTAGGGAATAGGTTTACAGTTCAAATTACACAGGTGAAGAAGAAAGAAAATGATAAGTACTTAACTAAAGGTCAGACAGCTTGGAAATAATAGAGTTATATATAAGGTACTTAGCAAATAGTGGACGCTCAAGAAAGATAAGTTCTCTTCAAAATGATTTCATACACCTACGTGAATCTGGCCTCAAAGCTATACTTTTTCTATATGTGACACAGCCTCCTAAATTAAATATGAGTATTTCATTAAATATAATCTAGCAGTAGAACTTAATATATGTGGTAATTCAGTATATGGTAAAAATCACTTGGGAAAAGATGAAATATTATTTCATCTTTGGTCAACAAGATATTTGATATTTGGTCAACAAGATATCAACTTGGGGGAAAGATTAAGATTAGAAACATTTAACCCCTACTAACACTAGTTTGTGTATAGAATGAAATCAAAAGCTACATTCCTAGTTGAAATTCTACCTTTTTATATCAAAATTGAAGTCAGGTATATCAAAAATGTAATTTAAAAAAGCAATACCACAAAGGCTATAAAATATACTTTAGTTGAATTTTTCTAAAAATCTTAGGGTAAGAAATTCCTAACATGTCATAAGAATTAAGAACCATAAACTTGAGGTCTGGAAAATTTGAATATAAAAAAACTAAATTTAAAAATTACATTTAGTCAAACAACACCTCAAACTAATTTTTTAAAAAGTGACAAACTGTGGAAAATATTTTCAGCTACATATGATAAGAGAAAAGAATATATTATTTGATATACAATAAGCTCTTATAAACTAAAAATTTTTAAAAAGAACAAAAATAGGTTATAATAGAAAAAATGGCAAAGGGTATCTTCTGAAATGAGAAAATAAAAGCAAACGACACTAAGCATACAAAAGGGTATTCAACTTCAGTAACATTTGAACAACACAAATAAAAATTACAATGAGATATCATTTCACCCTTATCAGATTAGCAAAGTTGAACAAGGCCAACTCTAAGATAATCAAAACATACCTTGGCCTAAAAGCTCCTTCAGCTGATAAACAACTTCAGCAAAGTTTCAGGATACAAACTCAATGTACAAAAATCGCTAGCATTCCTATACACCAACCACAGTCAAATAAGAAAGTCAATCCCATTCACAATTGCCACAAAAAGAATAAAATACCTGTGGCTGGCAAGACGGCCGAATAGGAATAGCTCCAGTCTGCAACTCCTGGCAAGATCAACACAGAAGGTGCGTGATTTCTGCATTTTTGACTGACATACCCAGCTCATCTCACTGGGACTGGTTAGACAGTGGGTGCAGCTCATGGAGGTTGAGCCAAAGCAGGGTGGGGTGTCACCTCACCTGGAAAGCACAAGGGGTCTGGGAACTCCCTCCCCTAGCCAAGAGAAGACGTGAGGGACTGTGCATTCCAGCCCAGATACCACACTTTTCCCATGGTTTTCACAACCTACAGACCAGGTGATTCCCTCAGGTGCCTACACCACCAGGGGCCTGGGTTTCAAGCGCAAAACTGGGCGTCCATTTGGGCAGACACCAAGCTAGCTGCAGGTGTTTTTTTGTTTTGTTTTGTTTTGTTTTTTCATACCCCAGTGGCGCCTGGAATGTCAGAGAGACAGAACCATTCACTCCTCTGGAAAGAGGGATGAAGCCAGGGAGCAAACTGGTCTAGCTCAGAGGATCCCACCCCCACAGAGCCCGGCAAGCTAAGATCCACTGGCTTGAAATTCTCGCTGCCAGCACAACAGTCTGAAGTCAACCTGGGATGTGCGAGCGTGGTGGGGGGAGGGGTGTCTGCCATTACTGAGGCTTGATTAGGCAGTTTTCCCCTCACAGTGTAAACAAAGCTGCCAGGAAGTTCAAAATGGGCAGAGCCCACCACAGCTCAGCAAAGCCACTGTGGCCAGACTGTCTCTCTAGATTCCTCCTCTCTGGGAAGGTCATCTCTGAAAGAAAGGCAGCAGCCCCAGTCAGGTGCTTATAGATAAAACTCCCATCTCTCTGGAATAGAGGACCTGGGGGAAGGAGTGGCTGTGGGCCCAGCTTCAGCAGACTTAAAAGTTCCTGCCTGCTGGCTCTGAAGAGAGCAGCAGATCTCCCAGCACAGTGCTCAAGGTCTGCTAAGGGACAGACTGCCTCCTCAAGTGGGTCCCTGACCCCCATGCCTCCTGACTGGGAGACACCTCCCAGCAGGGGTCGACAGACACCTCGTACAGGAGAGCTGTGGCTGGCACCTGGCAGATGACCCTCTGGGATGAATCTTCCAGAGGAAGGAACAGACAGCAATATTTCCTGTTCTGCAGCCTCCGCTGGTGATACCTAGGCAAAGAAGGTCTGGAGTGGACCTCCAGCAAACTCCAGCAGACCTGCAGCAGAGGGGCCTGACTGAGAAGGAAAACTAACAAACAGAAAGGAATAGCATCATCATCAACAAAAAGGAGGTCCACATAAAAACCCCATCCAAAGGTCACCAACAACAAAGATGAAAGATACATAAATCCACGAAGGTCAGGAAAAAACAGTGCAAAAAGCCTCAAAATTCCAAAAACCAGAACGCCTCTTCTCCAAAGGATCACAACTCCTTGCCAGCAAAGGAACAAAACTGGTTGGAGAATGAGTTTGACAAATTGACAGAGGTAGGCTTCAGAAGGTGGTTAACAACAAACTCCTCTGAGCTAAAGGAGCATGTTCTAACACAATGCAAGGAAGCTAAGAACCTTGAAAAAAGGTTAGAGGAATTGCTAACTAGAATAACCAGTTGAGAGAAGAACATAAATGACCTGATGTAGCTGGAAAATACAACACAAGAACTTCGTGAAGCATACACAAGTATCAATAGCCAAATCAATGAAGCAGAAGAAAGGATATCAGAGACTGAAGATCAACTTAATGAAACAAAGTGTGAAGACAAGATTAGAGAAAAAATAATTAAAAGAAATGAATAAAGCCTCCAAGAAATATGGGACTATGTGAAAAAACCAAACCTATGTTTGATTGTTGTAACTGAAAGTGATGGGGAGAATGGAACCAAGTTGGAAAACACTCTTCAAGATATTATCCAGGAGAACTTCCCCAACCTAGCAAGACAGGGCAACATTTAAATTCAGGAAATACGGAGAACACCACTAAGATACTCCTCGAGAAGACCAACTCCAAGACATGTAATCATCAGATTCACCAAGGTTGAAATGAAGGAAAAAATGTTAAGGGCAGCCAGAGATAAAGGTTGGGTTACCCACAAAGGAAAGCCCATCAGACTAACAGCTGATATCTCTGCAAAAACCCAACAAGCCAGAAGAGAGTGGGCGCAAATATTCAACATTCTCAAAGAAAAGAATTTTCAACACAGAATTTCATAACCAGCCAAACTAAGCTTCATAAGTGAAGGAGAAATAAAATCCTTTACAGACAAGCAAATGCTGAGAGATTTTGTCACCACCAGGCCTGCCCTACAAGAGCTCCTGAAGGAAGCACTAAATATGGAAAGTAAAAATCGGTACCAGCTACTGCAATAATGCAATAATTGTAAAGACCATCAATACTATGAAGAAACTGCATCAATGAATGGGCAAAATAACCAGCTAGCATCATAATGACAGGATCAAATTCACTCATTAACCTTAAATGTAAACAGGCTAAGTGCCCCAATTAAAAGACACACACTGGCAAATTGGATAAACAGCCAAGACCCATCAGTGTGCTGTATTCAGGATACCCATCTCATGTGCAAAGACACACACAGAGGTTGCAATCCTAGTCTCTGATAAAACAGACTTTAAACCAACAAAGATCACAAAATACAAAGAAGGACATTACATAATTGCAAAGGAATTGATGCAACAAGAAGAGCTAACTATCCTAAATATATATGCACCCAATACAGAAGCACCTAGATTCATAAAGCAAATTCTTAGAGACCTACAAAGAGACATACACTCCAATGCAATAATAGTGGGAGACTTTAACACCCCACTGTCAATATTGGAAAGATCAACGGGGCAGAAAATTAACAAGGATATTCAGGACTTCAACTTAGCTCTGGACCAAGAGGACCTAATAGACATCTACAGAACTCTCCACACCAAATCAAAAGAATATATCTCAGCATCACATCACACTTATGCTAAAATTGACTACGTAATTGGAAGTAACACACTCCTCAGGAAACGCAAAAGAAGGAAATCATAACAAACAGTCTCTCAGACAGCAGTGCAATCAAATTAGAACTCAGGATTAAGAAACTCACTCAAAACAGCACAACTACATGGAAACTGAACAACCTGCTCCTGAATGACTACTGGGTAAATAACAAAATTAAGGCAGAAATAAAGAAGTTCTTTGAAACCAATGAGAACAAAGACACAACGAACCAGAATCTCCAGGACACAGCTAAAGCAGTGTTTAGAGGAAAATATATAGCACTAAATGCCCACAGGAGAAAGTGGGAAAGATCTAAAATTGACACCCTAACATTACAATTAAAAGAACTAGAGAAGCAAGAGCAAACTAATTCAAAATCTAGCAGAAGACAAGAAATAACTAAGATCAGATCAGAACTGAAGGGGATAGAGACATGAAAAAGCCTTCAAATAATCAATGAATTCAGGAGCTGATTTTTTGTAAAGACTAACAAAATAGATGGACCACTAGCCAGACTAATAAGGAAGAAAAGAGAAGAATCAAACAGACACAATAAAAAATGATAAAAGGCATATCACCACTTATCCCACAGAAATACAAACTACCATCAGAGAATACTATAAACACCTCTATGCAAATAAACTAGAAAATCTAGAAGAAATGGATAAATTCCTGGACACATACACTCTCCCAAGACTAAACCAGGAAGAAGTCGAATCCCTGGAGAGACCAATAACAAGTTCTGAAATTGAGGCAGTAATTAATAGCCTACCAACCAAAAAAACCCCAGGACCAGATGGAATCAGAGCCATATTCTACCAGAGGTACAAAGAGGAGCTGGTACTGTGCCTTCTGAAACTCTTCCTCACTCATTTTATGAGACCAGCATTATCCTGATACCCAAACCTGGCAGAGACACAACAAAAAAGAGATAATTTTAGGCCAATATCCCTGATGAACATCGATGTGAAAATCCTCAATAAAATACTGGCAAACCGAATCCAGCAGCACATCAAAAAGCTTATCCACCATGCTCAAGTTGGCTTCATCCCTGGGATGCAAGGCTGGTTCAACATACGCAAATCAATAAATGTAATACATCACATAAACAAAACCAATGACAAAAACCACATCATTATCTCAATAGATGCAGAAAAGGCCTTTCATAAAATTCAACACTCTTTCATGCTAAAAACTCTCAATAAACTAGCTATTGATGGAATGTATCTCAAAATAATAAGAGCTATTTATGACAAACATGCAGCCAATATCATACTGAATGTGCAAAAGCTGGAAGCATTCCCTTTGAAAACCAGCACAAGACAAGGATGCCCTCTCTCACAACTCCTATTCAAACAGTATTGGAAGTTCTGGCCAGGGCAATCAGGCAAGAGAAAAAAATAAAGGGTATTCAAACAGGAAGAGAGGAAGTCAAATTGTCTCTATTTGCAGATGACATGATTGTATATTTAGAAAGCCCCAGCATCTCAGCCCGAAATCTCATTAAGCTGATAAGCAACTTCAGCAAAATCTCAGGATACAAAATCAATGTGCAAAAATCACAAAGCATTCCTATACACCAATAACAGACAAACAGAAAGCCAAATCATGAGTGAACACCCATTCACAATTGCTACAAAGAGAATGAAATACCTGGGAATCCAACTTACAAGGGATGTGAAGGACCTCTTCAAGGAGAACTACAAACCACTGCTAAACTAAATAAGAGAGGACACAAACAAATGGAAAAACATTCCATACTCATGGATAGAAAGAATCAGTATCGTGAAAATGGCCATACTGCCCAAAGTAATTTATAGATTCAATGCTATCCCCATTAAGCTACCATTGACTTTCTTCACAGAATTGGAAAAAACTACTTTAAATTTCATATGAAACCAAAAAAGAGCCCATATAGCCAAGACAATCCTAAGCAAAAAGAACAAAGCTGGAGGCATCACACTACCTGACTTCAAACTATACTACAAGGCTACAGTAACCAAAACAGCATGATACTGGTACCAAAACAGAGATATAGATCAATGGAACAGAACAGAGGCCTCAGAAATAATGCCACACATCTATAACCATCTGATCTTTGACAAACCTGAAAAAACAAGAAATGGGGAAAGGATTCCCTATTTAATAAATGGTGTTGGGAAAACTGGCTAGCCATATGCAGGAAACTGAAACTGGACCCCTTCCTTATACCTTATACAAAAGTTAACTCAAGATGGGTTAAAGACTTAAACATGAAACCTAAAACCATAAAAACCCTAGAAGAAAACCTAGGCAATACCATTCAGGACATAAGCATGGGCAAAGATTTCATGAGTAAAACACCAAAAGCAATGGCAACAAAAGCCAAAATTGACAAATGGAATCTAATTAAACTAAAGAGCTTCTGCTCAGCAAAAGAAACTATCATCAGAGTGAATAGGCAACCTACAGAATGGGAGAAAATTTTTGTAATCTATCCATCTGACAAAGGACTAATATCCAGAATCTACAAGGAAGTTAAACAAATTTACAAGAAAAAAACAACCCCATCAAAAAGTGGGCAAAGGATATGAACAGACACTTCTCAAAAGAAGACAATCATGTGGCTAACAAACATATGAAAAAAAGCTCATCAACACTGGTCATTAGAGAAACGCAAATCAAAACCTCAATGAGATACCATCTCACACCATTTAGAATGGTGATTATTAAAATGTCAGGAAACAACAGATCCTGGAGAGGATGTGGAGAAACAGGAATGCTTTTACTGTTGGTGGGAGTGTAAACTAGTTCAGCTATTGTGGAAGACAGTGTGGCCATTCCTCAAGGATCTAGAACCAGAAATACCATTTGACCCAGCAATCCCATTACTGGGTATATACCCAAAGGTTTATAAATCATGCTGCTATAAAGACACATGCACACGTATGTTTATTGCAGCACTATTTACAATAGCAAAGACTTGGAACCAACCCAAATGCCTATCAATAATAGACTGGATAAAGAAAATAGGGCACATATACACCATGAAATACTATGCAGCCCTAAAAAAGGATGAGCTTATGTCCATTGCAGGGACATGGATGAAGCTGGAAACCATCATTCTCAGCAAACTAACACAGGAACAGAAAACCAAACACCACATGTTCTCACTCATAAGTGGGAGTTGAACAATGAGAACACATGGACACAAGGAGGGGAACATCACACACTGGGGCCTGTCAGGGGGTAGGGGGCTAAGAGAGGGATAGCATTAGAATAAATACCTAATATAGATGACGGGTTGATGCGTGCAGCAAATCACCATGGCACGTGTATACCTATGTAATAAACCTGCACATTCTGCACATGTATTCTAGAACTTATAGTAAAAAAAGTAATAAACTATTTAGGAATACAGCTAACCAGGGAGGTGAAAGATGTTTACAATGAGAATTACAAAACACTGCTGAAAGAAAACAGAGAAGACACAACAAATGGGAAAACATCGCATGCTCATGGATAGGAAGAATGAATATTATTAAAATAGCCATACTGCCCAAAGCAATTTACAGATTCAATGCTATTTGTCTCAAGCTACCAATAACATTCTTCACAGAACTAGAAAAAAACTATTTTAAAATTCATATGGAACCAAAACTGCCCAAATGGCCAAGGCAATCCTAAGCAAAAAGGGGAAAGCTGGAGACATCATGTTACCTGACTTCAAACTATACTACAAGGCCTCAGTAAGCAAAACAGCATAGTACTGCTACAAAAACAGGCACATAGACCAATTGAACAGGAGAGAGAGCCCAGAAATAAGGCCACCCATCTACGACCACCTGATCTTTGACAAAGCTGACAAAGATGAGCAATGGAGAAAGGATTCCCTATTCAATAAATGGTGCTGGGATAACCAGCTAGCCATACATAGAAGATGGAAGCTGAACCACTTCCTTACACCATATGCAAAAATCAACTCAAGATGTAGACTCAAAAAACCAAGACTTAAGTGTAAAACCCAAAACTATCAAAACCCTGGAAGACAAACTAGGCAATACTATCCTGGACATAGCAACGGGCAAAGATTTCATGACAAAGATGCCAAAAACAATTGCAACAAAAGCAAAAATTGACAACTGAGATCTAATTAAACTTAAAAGTGACAAATGAAATCTAATTAACTAAAGAGCTTCTGCACTGCAAAAGAAACTATCAACAGAGCAAACAGACAACCTACAGAATGGGCAAAAATTTTTGCAAACTATGAATCTGACAAAGGTCTAATATCCAGCATCTATAAGGAACATAACCAATTTACAAGAGAAAAACAAACAACCTTATTAAAAAGTGGGCAAAGGACATGAACAGACACTTCTCAAAAGAAGACATATGTGCAGCCAACAAACATATGAAAAAAGGCTCAATACCACTGCTCATTAGAGAAATGCAAATGAAAACCACAATGAGATACTATTTCACACCTGTTAGAATGGCTATTATTAATAGATTCTGGCAAAGTTGCCTAGAGAAGAGAACACTTACACACTGTTGGTGGGAGTGTAAATTAGTTCAACCATTGTGGAAAGCAGTACAGTGATTTCTCAAAGTGCTAAAGGCAGAATTATCATTCGACCCAGCAATCCCATTACTGGGTATATACCCAGAGAAATATAAATGATTTTACCATAAAGACACATGCATGCAAATGTTCACTGCAGCACTATTCACAATAGCAAGGACATGGAATCAACCTAAATGCCCATCAATGGCAGATTCGATAAAGAAAATGTAGTACCTATACACCATGTAATACTATGCAGCCATAAAAAAGAACAAGATCATACCCTTTGCGAGAACATGGATGGAGCTGGAGGCTATTATCCTTAGCAAACTAACAGAGGAACAGAAAGCCAAAACCCACATTTTCTCTTATAAGTGGGAGCTAAATAATAAGAACTTATGAACACAAAGAAGGAAACTACAAACACTGGGGCCTACTTGAGGGTAGAGGGTGAGAGGAGGAAGAGGAGCTGAAAAGATTGGGTACTGGGCTTAATACCTGGGTGATGAAATAATATGTACAACAAACCCCCATGACATGAGTGTACCTATGTAACAAACCTTCACATGTGCCCTCAAATCTAAAATTAAAGTTTTTTAAAAATGCACACACAAAAAACCAGTGTTTATATGAATGTTTATTGTAGCACTATTTGTAATAGTGAAAAACTGGAAGAAATCCAAATGTACCTCAATAAGAACAGGTTAAATAAGTTAACGTACAGCTGCTACATCTCATAGTACAAAGCAGCCAATAAAAAAGATGCTGATGTTTTTTGACATGAAAATATGCCTGTAACCATTTTTTTCTTTTTTCAGTTTTTGAATGATGAGATTACAGAAGTAATCATTAAGTATGTAACAATTTACATGAAATATATGTACATCCTATGGTTCTCCATTGATTTGCAGATTGTACAGATTTTCATGACTTGATATTCTTTTTTTAATTCTTAAATTATAATACAATGTTTTTATTAATAACACTCTATAGACTTTCTTTAATGTTTAGAGTTACAGAGAAAATGTCTCAGATTAGCCTTATTTTTGCTCTTTTATTAGTAAACTATATTACTTCCTGATAGAACACTTACAAAATATTCTTTTATATTTGAAATGACAAATAAACATATTGTAGTGAAATATTTGATCTTTAAGAATAAAGGGATACTTGTAGGCCAAGCTCACTATTTAATTGAGAAAAGTTTTCTTTAATTATATCTAATTTTTATTTTTGTTCCTATTACTTTATTTTTATTTATTTATTTATTTATTTTTTATTATACTTAAAGTTTTAGGGTACATGTCCACAACGTGCAGGTTTGTTACCTATGTATACATGTACCATGTTGGTGTGCTGCACCCATTAACTCGTCATTTAACATTAAGTATATCTCCTAATGCTATCCCTCCCCCCTCCCCATACCCCACAACAGGCCCCAGTGTGTGATGTTCCCAGTCCTGTGTCCATGTGTTCTCATTGTTCAATTCCAACCTATAAGGGAGAACATGCGATGTTTGGTTTTTTGTCCTTGAGACAGTTTGCTGAAAATGATGGTTTCCAGCTTCATCCATGTCCCTACAAAGGACATGAAATCATCATTTTTTATGGCTGCATAGTATTCCATGGTGTATATGTGCCACATTTTCTAATCCGGTCTAACATTGTTGGACATTTGGCTTGGTTCCAAGTCTTTGGTATTGTGAATAGTGCCGCAATAAACATACATGTGCATGTGTCTTTATAGCAGCATGGTTTATAATCCTTTGGGTATATACCCAGCAATGGGATGGCTGGGTCAAATGGTATTTCTAGTTCTAGATCCCTGAAGAATCACCACACTGACTTCCACAATGGTTGAACTAGTTTACAGTCCCACCAACAGTGTAAAAGTGTTCCTATTTCTCCACATCCTTTCCAGCACCTGTTGTTTCCTGACTTTTTAATGATTGCCATTCTAACTGGTGTGAGATGGTATCTCACTGTGGTTTTGATTTGCATTTCTCTGATGGCCAGTGATGATGAGCATTTTTTCATGTGTCTTTTGGCTGCATAAATGTCTTCTTTTGAGAAGTGTCTGTTCATATCCTTTGCCCACTTGTTGATGGGGTTGTTTGTTTTTTTCTTGTAAATTTGTTTGAGCTCTTTGTAGATTCTGGATATTAGCCCTTTGTCAAACGAGTAGACTGCAAAAATTCTCTCCCATTCTGTAGGTTGCCTGTTCACTCTGATGCTAGTTTCTTTTGCTGTGCAGAAGCTCTTTAGTTGAATTAAATCCCACTTGTCAATTTTGGCTTTTGTTGCCATTGCTTTTGGTGTTTTAGACATGAAGTCCTTGCCCATGCCTATGTCCTGAATGGTATTGCATAGGTTTCCTTCTAGGGTTTTTATGGTGTTAGGTCTAACATTTAAGTCTTTAATCCATCTTGAATGAATTTTTGTATAAGGTGTAAGGAAAGGATCCAGTTTCAGCTTTCTACATATGGCTAGCCAGTTTTCCCAGCACCATTTATTAAATAGGGAATCCTTTCCCCATTGCTTGTTTTTCTCAGGTTTGTCAAAGATGAGATAGTTGTAGATGTGTGGCATTATTTCTGAGGGCTCTGTTCTGTTCCATTGATCTATATCTCTGTTTTGGTACCAGTACCCTGCTGTTTTGGTTAGTGTAGCCTTGTAGTATAGTTTGAAGTCAGGTAGCATGATGCCTCCAGCTTTGCTCTTTTGGCTTAGGATTGACTTGGCAATGAGGGCTCTTTTTTGGTTCCATATGAACTTTAAAGTAGTTTTTTCCAATTCTGTGAAAAAGTCTTTGGTAGCTTGCTGGGGATGGCATTGAATCTATAAATTACCTTGGGCAGTATGGCCATTTTCACGATATTGATTCTTCCTACCCATGAGCATGGAATGTTCTTCCATTTGTTTGTGTCCTATTTTATTTCCTTGAGCAGTGGTTTGTAGTTCTCCTTGAAGAGGTCCTTCACATCCCTTGTAAGTTGGATTCCTAGGTATTTTATTCTCTTTGAAGCAATTGTGAATGTGAGTTCACCCATGATTTGGCTCTCTGTTTGTGTGTTATTGGTGTATAAGAATGCTTGTGATTTCAAGCATTCTTATACACCAACAACAGACAAACAGAGAGCCAAATCATGGGTGAACTCCTATTCACAATTGCTTCAAAGAGAATAAAATACCTAGGAATCCAACTTACAAGGGATGTGAAGGACCTCTTCAAGGAGAACTACAAACCACTGCTCAAGGAAATAAAAGAGGACACAAACAAATGGAAGAACATTCCATGCTCATGGGTAGGAAGAATCAATATCGTGAAAATGGCCATACTGCCCAAGGTAATTTACAGATTCAATGCCATCCCCATCAAGCTACCAATGACTTTCTTCACAGAATTGGAAAAAACTACTTTAAAGTTCATATGGAACCAAAAAAGAGCCCGCATCGCCAAGTCAATCCTAAGCCAAAAGAACAAAGCTGGAGGCATCACACTACCTGACTTCAAACTATACTACAAGGCTACAGTAACCAAAACAGCATGGTACTGGTACCAAAACAGAGATATAGATCAATGGAACAGAACAGAGCCCTCAGAAATAATGCCGCATATCTACAACTATCTGATCTTTGACAAACCTGAGAAAAACAAGCAATGGGGAAAGGATTCCCTGTTTAATAAATGGTGCTGGGAAAACTGGCTAGCCATATGTAGAAAGCTGAAACTGGATCCCTTCCTTACACCTTATACAAAAATCAATTCAAGATGGATTAAAGATTTAAACGTTAGACCTAAAACCATAAAAACCCTAGAAGAAAACCTAGGCATTACCATTCAGGACATAGGCATGGGCAAGGACTTCATATCCAAAACACCAAAAGCAATGGCAACCAAAGCCAAAATTGACAAATGGGATCTAATTAAACTAAAGAGCTTCTGCACAGCAAAAGAAACTACCATCAGAGTGAACAGGCAACCTACAACATGGGAGAAAATTTTCGCAACCTACTCATCTGACAAAGGGCTAATATCCAGAATCTACAATGAACTCAAACAAATTTACAAGACAAAAACAAACAACCCCATCAAAAAGTGGGCAAAGGACATGAACAGACACTTCTCAAAAGAAGACATTTATGCAGCCAAAAAACACATGAAGAAATGCTCATCATCACTGGCCATCAGAGAAATGCAAATCAAAACCACTATGAGATATCATCTCACACCAGTTAGAATGGCAATCATTAAAAAGTCAGGAAACAACAGGTGCTGGAGAGGATGTGGAGAAATAGGAACACTTTTACACTGTTGGTGGGACTGTAAACTAGTGCAACCATTGTGGAAGTCAGTGTGGCGATTCCTCAGGGATCTAGAACTAGAAATACCATTTGACCCAGCCATCCCATTACTGGGTATATACCCAAAGGGCTATAAATCATGCTGCTATAAAGACACATGCACACGTATGTTTATTGCAGCACTATTCACCATAGCAAAGACTTGGAACCAACCCAAATGTCCAACAATGATAGACTGGATTAAGAAAATGTGGCACATATACACCATGGAATACTATGCAGCCATAAAAAATGATGAGTTCATATCCTTTGTAGGGACATGGATGAAATTGGAAACCATCATTCTCAGTAAACTATCGCAAGAACAAAAAACCAAACACCGCATATTCTCACTCATAGGTGGGAATTGAACAATGAGATCACATGGACACAGGAAGGGGAATATCACACTCTGGGGACTGTGGTGGGGTCGGGGGAGGGGGGAGGGATAGCATTGGGAGATATACCTAATGCTAGATGACACATTAGTGGGTGCAGCGCACCAGCATGGCACATGTATACATATGTAACTAACCTGCACAATGTGCACATGTACCCTAAAACTTAGAGTATAATAAAAAAAAAAAAAAAGAAAAAGAAAAACAAAAACAACAACAACAAAAAAAAGAATGCTTGTGATTTTTGCACATTGATTTTGTATCCTGAGACTTTGCTGAAGTTGCTTATCAGCTTAAGAAGACTTTGGACTGAGATGATGGGGTTTTCCAGTTATACAATCATGTCATCTGTAAACAGGGACAATTTGACTTCCTCTTTTACTAATTGAACACCCTTTATTTCCTTCTCCTGCCTGACTGCCCTGGCCAGAGCTTCCAACACTATGTTGAATAGGAGTGGTGAGAGAGGGCATCCCTGTCTTGTGCCACTTTTCAAAGGGAATGCTTCCAGTTTTTGCCCATTCAGTATGATATTGGCTGTGGGTTTGTCATAAATAGCTCTTATTATTTTGAGATACGTTCCATCAATAGCTAGTCTATTGAGCGTTTTTAGCATGAAGAGTTGTTGAATTGTGTCAAAGGCCGTTTCTGCATCTATTGAGATAATCATGTGGTTTTTGTCTTTGTTTCTGTTTATATGCTGGATTAAGTTTATTGATTTGCATATGTTGAAGCAGCCTTGCATCCCGGGGATGAAGCCCACTTGATCATGGTGGATAAGCTTTTTGATGTGCTGCTGGATTCGGTTTGCCAGTATTTTATTGAGGATTTTTACGTCGATGTTCATCAGGGATATTGGTCTAAAATTCTCTTTTTTGTTGTGTCTCTGCCAAGCTTTGGTATCAGGATGATGCTGGCCTCATGAAATGAGTTAGGGAGGATTCCCTCTTTTTCTATTGATTGGAATAGTTTCAGAAGGAATGGTACCAGCTCCTCCTGTACCTCTGGGAGAATTCGGCTGTGAATCCGTCTGGTCCTGGACTTTTTTTGGTTGGTAAGCTATTAATTATTGCCTCAATTTCAGAGCCTATTATTGGTCTATTCAGAGATTCATCTTCTTCCTGGTTTAGTCTTGGGAGGGTGTATGTGTTGAGGAATTTATCCATTTCTTCTAGATTTTCTAGTTTATTTGTGTAGAGGTGTTTATAGTATTCTCTGATGGTAGTTTGTATTTTTGTGGGATTGGTGGTGATATCCCCTTTATCATTTTTTATTGTGTCTATTTGATTCTTCTCTCTTTTCTTCTTTATTAGTCTTGCTAGCAGTCTATCAATTTTGTTGATCTTTTCAAAAAACCAGCTCCTGGATTCATTGATTTTTTGAAGGGTTCTTTGTGTCTCTATCTCCTTCAGGTCTGCTCTGATCTTAGTTATTTCTTGCCTTCTGCTAGCTTTTGAATGTGTTTGCCCTTGCTTCTCTAGTTCTTTTAATTGTGATGTTAGGGTGTCAGTTTTAGATCTTTCCTGCTTTCTCTTGTGGGCATTTAGTGCTATAAATCTCCTTCTACACACTGCTTTGAATGTGTCCCAGAGATTCTGGTATGTTGTGTCTTTTTTCTCATTAGTTTCAAAGAATATCTTTATTTCTGCCTTCATTTCGTTATGTACCCAGTAGTCATTCAGGAGCAGGTTGTTCAGTTTCCATGTAGTTGAGCAGTTTTGAGTGAGTTTCTTAATCCTGAGTTCTAGTTTGATTGCACTGTGGTCTGAGAGACAGTTTGTTATAATTTCTGTTCTTTTACACTTGCTGAGGAGTGCTTTACTTCCAACTATGTGGTCAATTTTGGAATAGGTGTTGTGTGGTGCTGAGAAGAATCTGTCTAATCCAAATTCTGTTGATTTGGGGTGGAGAGCTCTGTAGATGTCTATTAGGTCTGCTTGGTGCAGAGCTGAGTTCAATTCCTGGATATCCTTTTTATCTTTCTGTCTCGTTGATCTGTCTAATGTTGACAGTGGGGTGTTAAAGTCTCCCATTATTATTGTGGGGGAGTCTAAGTCTCTTTGTAGGTCACTCAGGACTTGCTTTATGAATCTGGGTGCTCCTGTATTGGGTGCATATATATTTAGGACAGTTAGCTCTTCTTGTTGAATTGATCTCTTTACCATTATGTAATGGCCTTCTTTGTCTCTTTTGATCTTTGTTGGTTTAAAGTCTGTTTTATCAGAGACTAGGATTGCAACCCCTGCCTTTTTTTGTTTTCCATTTGCTTGATAGATCTTCCTCCATCCCTTTATTTTGAGCCTATGTGTGTCTCTGCACATGAGATGGGTTTCCTGAATACAGCACACTGATGGTTCTTGACTCTTTATCCAATTTGCCAGTCTGTGTCTTTTAATTGGAGCATGTAGCCCATTTACATGTAAGGTTAATATTGTTATGTGTGAATTTGATCCTGTCATTATGATGCTAGCTGGTTATTTTGCTCGTTAGTTGATGCAGTTTCTTCCTAGCCTCGATGGTCTTTACAATTTGATATGTTTTTGCGGTGGCTGGTACCGGTTGTTCCTTTCCATGTTTAGTGCTTCCCTCAGGAGCTCTTGTAGGGCAGGCCTGGTGGTGACAAAATCTCTCAGCATTTGCTTGTCTGTAAAGGATTTTATTTTTCCTTCACTTATGAAGCTTAGTTTGGCTGGATATGAAATTCTGGGTTGAAAATTCTTTTCTTTAAGAATGTTGAATATTGGCCCCCACTCTCTTCTGGTTTGTAGAGTTTCTGCTGAGAGATCAGCTGTTAGTCTGATGGGCTTCCCTTTGTGGGCAACCCGACCTTTCTCTCTGGCTGCCCTTAACATTTTTTCCTTCATTTCAACTTTGGTCAATCTGACCATTATGTGTCTTGGAGTTGCTCTTCTCGAGGAGTATCTTTGTGGCATTCTCTGTATTTCCTGAATTTGAATGTTGGCCTGCCTTGCTAGATTGGGGAAGTTCTCCTGGATAATATCCTGCAGAGTGTTTTCCAACTTGGTTCCATTCTCCCCGTCACTTTCAGGTAGACCAATCAGACATAGATTTGGTCTTTTCACATAGTCCCATATTTCTTGGAGGCTTCTGGCCAAGAAGTCCTTGGCGAAGGAGATGGCCTGTTCAGTCATGGTGGTGGGGTGGGCAGTGGAACGGGTGGACAGCCAGAGAGCGGGAGTGGAGAGTGAATGCAGGGTGTCGCTGGCTCAGCCCTGCCGTCGCTGAGACCAAAAGGTGACTTGATATTCTTAAGTACAAGTATAAATATGTGTGTGATACATATTTGTTGTTGTTGGAAACACTGTTAAAGCCTTTGTTCCAGACCTAACAGACTAATTTGTTTCAATGGACACTAACAAAAATAATCATTAAAGATAGGATTTAGCATAGAGAAAATGTAGAAAAGCCATACTTGGTGCAAGGAAAATATTCAATCTACCTGAAGTCAGCAGTATGCAAATGAGTCATCTGAATATTTGTCTAAAATGTTGATCTATATAAGGAAATCTCTTCTACTACTGCCCACTGGTCAGTATTAAGGCACAGGGATTTTGAAGGATAGTAACATAGAGTAAGTGTAGCTATGACCTCTCACTTGTAGCACCATCTTTCTACACAGTTCAGGGTTACCTCATCCATCCCCCAGAAAAAAAGACTCATCGTAACTTAGTATATTACTCTGAGTTCAAATATGCATTATTATGTTAAATTCTCCATCGCTTACAGTGTTCCTAGGAGCATCCTAGGCTTCCACAAGTTACTTTGAGGGAAGAAGTGATAAGATTCTTCCCAGTTACTGATTTATAAACTTTCTTATACTCATTGAGCTTAATTTTTATGTGAATATGCCCATTTTGACCAAAAAGGGATTCAAATAATTTCTTTAAATCTTTAATTTAATTTCCTCTTTCATTGTTCATTTGTCAAACCAGTCCTGATTTTGCATAAGCATTATTGTAGAGTCTGAGTTTAGCATTATGTACAGGATTAAATTATCAGAATATGAAATGAGGCTGCACTTGTTTTCCTGGATCATCTTTGTTTCTAAGTAATTTGTTTATCTTGTAAGAAACAGTGTCTGACTGTTGACCTTGATAGAATATACATTCAGTACAATCTTCTCTCTTCCCTCCTCAGATGTTCTTCCACAAATTGTCATCTGATTTCTTATTTTAAATTAGTATATTTTATTACTTAATAAGTAGCACAATGACAAAAATCATTCCAATGATGAGTTCCAGAGAAAAGTAATTGTCCATATGGACATAGAAAAGTCACTATAGTTTCTAGTTGCACACTCACATGTGGGTGGATACAGTGCCTATCTTGGGCTAAGGTGGTCAGTTAAAGTAAAAGTGAGAAAAAAGAAAAATGATGCTTATTTGACATTAACATGAAAAGTCATACAGGAGAAAGAATTGTGGTCTAAAAGGGATCTAAAGTCTTCCTTCCCTGCCTTTGGCCTGGTCCCAGTGTTCAGGGTTGGATCTCAAGGGGGTGGCCTAATGGGGTGTCCCTTTCAGGTAGCTAAAAGAATGGAAAGCCCATTGTATGGACCCATGCCTTGAAAGAAAGGTCAGGCAGGAACCAAACAGCCAGAACAAATGAGATCCAAAATGCAGAAGCCAAAGAAATCTCAAGGAAAGCCAGAGTCAAAAACAGGCTCTGGTCCAAAATCTATGACTTAGCTTGCTTTGTCATTTTAAGCCCACTGCTTCACTTCTCTAAACCTCAATTTTTTTCATCTATAGCAAGCAGCAACCCTATCTCCTCTATTGATATTATATGGAAGTATTTTGAAAGTGTTATACAAATGTAAGATCTTGATTATTATTAAGATACAAATACTTTGTCACTTGAATTCTTCCTTTTTAAAATTCTAAGGTAGAGGGTAACCCATGGAAATCAAATGTGTCTTTTTCTTTCTTCCAGTGTCAGAGGTGATTGAATCTATTGGGGGTTCTTTGAAAAAAAATATATATATATGAAAGTGTGAGAGGTACAAGAAAAATCATGTTGAAGCCTTCAAATGTTGCCAGTTTTCCAAAGCATCCCTGTATGGCAATAGCGAGAGAGAACTTATATTCCAATTTCTCCTTTATTTAGGTGGAGAAGCCCAGAGGCCCATCCTCTCTGAACTGTGTGAAGACTTAGAGTTCCTCGAAATGTCACAGGGGTAGGAGAAGACTGTCGAGAGAGATACTGTATTTCCTGCCAATGAGCATGTAGGAACTTGAGCAATTAATGGGAAAGAATGAGAGCCATAGGCATATATGTACCATGAGCTTGTAGAATGGCTTGCAAGAGTTATTATTATTGCATACCTATTTGGCAGTTTCAAGAATTTTAGTGTCAGAATATGAATGTCATGCCTGGTAGGGACAATTAAAAGAGGAAACAGAAGGTGGGCAGTAAAAAGGGGATTTTACTCGGAAGCTACAGCATGTGCCAAGGCACGGTAGCACAAGGAAGCCTTGGTGTCACTTGGGTTTTGTTTTGTTTTGTTTTATTTATTTTTTTATTATAATTTAAGTTCTAGGGTACATGTGCACAACATGCAGGTTTGTTACATAGGTATACATGTGTCATGTTGGTGTGCTGCACCCATTAACTCATCATTTACATTAGGTATATCTCCTAATGCTATCCCTCCCCCCTCCCCCCACCCCATGACAGGCCCTAGTGTGTGATGTTCCCCTTCCTGTGTCCATGTGTTTTCATTGTTCAATTCCCACCTATGAGTGAGAACATGTGGTGTTTGGTTTTTTGTCCTTGTGATAGTTTGCTGAGAATGATGGTTTCCAGCTTCATCCATGTCCCTACAAAGGACATGAACTCATTCTTTTTTATGGCTGCATAGTATTCCATGGTGTATATGTGCCACATTTTCTTAATTCAGTCTATCATTGATGGACATTTGGCTTGCTTCCAAGTCTTTACTATTGCGAATAGTGCTGCAATAAACATATGTGTGCATGTGTCTTTATAACAGCATGATTTATAACCCTTTGGGTATATACCCAGTAATGGGATTGCTGGGTCAAATGGTATTTCTAGTTCTAGATCCTTGAGGAATCGCCACCCTGTCTTCCACAATGGTTGATCTAATTTACAGTCCCACCAACAGTGTAAAAGTGTTCCTATTTCTCCACATCCTCTCCAGCACCTGTTGTTTCCTGACTTTTTAATGATCGCCATTCTAGCTGGTGTGAGATGGTATCTCATTGTGGTTTTGATTTGCATTTCTCTGATGGCCAGGGATGATGAGCATTTTTTCATGTGTCTGTTGGCTGTATAAATGTCTTCTTGGGTTTTGAGGGTTAGAGCTCAGTGTGAGAAAGGGGTAGGGAGAGCAATGGGAGACAGGACTGGATCTTAAGACATATGAAAGACCTTGAATGTCATACAAAGATGCTTCTCTTCTAGAACTTTGAAAGTTTGTAAGCAAGGAAGTGATCTGATCAGATTCAGGGGGATGCACGAGAAAATTCTCTGCAGCATGCTAATTAAAATTTTCTGCAATACGATGTACACATTTCTTAAAACATTTTAATCTATCTAAAATCTCAGAAGCCTAATATCTGAGATATGCCATTCAGAACATTAGATTATCTGATAATTATTTATAATAGATTTAATGTTTTAAAAATATGAAATTCAATTCCCTTTAAAAATAAGAAAACTGTTTTTAAAAAGAGCATTGAGAAAACAAGCAATATAAGGACAGCTGACAAGCAAGATTACCTTTAAGTAGATGAGAGTAAATTGAATAGGTTCTTTCTCTTCTTTCGGCTAGGCATGTTTATTTAATTACACACATATCTATTTTAACACACTAGTGTGTTACTATATCAACATTTTTAATTCAAACTGACACTTGCCAGGAGTGTGGTTTAGCGCTCTACAAAACAACTGCAGATATCAACCCATGCAGGCAAACCCAAAACCATGCTACTGGTTTCCATGTAACCCAAAGCCTCCAACACCACAAACTGCTAGGAAATGGAATAATCTGAGTTAAGACCTTGAAGGGAAGCAAAAAGAGGAGTTCCAGAAGTAAAACCATATGTTTCCCAAGAGCCATTGAGTTGCAGGGAGACAGGAACACTTGTCCTCAACTACGATTTGCTTACAAGACATGGCAGAGAAATCGTCCTAACAGCTTCTGTAATAGGATGTATTTTCGTATGTAATTGGACTGTCTTTCTGCGTGTAAACTCGATGCTATAACATTTTGACTATTATATGTAATCTTTTATTAACATACATCAACCTTTGAAAATAATTGCCTTCTCCCAATAAGGGTATGTTTTAAGGCAATCAGGTTATATAGCTATTTCCCATTCCACTAAAACCCAGAGAAGTTGTCCTTCATATAAGGCACATGTGGTGGGATTTGGGTTCTGAGCCCATGACTTTCTTTAATTGAGTCACATTAACGCTGCTTTATATAGCACTGAGGCCAAACAAGCATCATGCACACTTAGAAGCACATTCTTCACAATATATAAAGAACTTAAACCATCGAAGTCTAAAGCAATTACTTTCTTGAGGAAATACTAACTACTAATCTAACTATTGAAGAAAGATGTTAGCAAGCAAACCATTGTTCTCCTGTTTCTTTTCTTTCTTTTTTAAAAATTAATTAATTTTTAAATTGACAAATAAACTTTGTATATATTTATCATGTATTACATGTTTTGAAATACTTATATTTCCTGTTTCTCTCCTAATCAGGATTCCTAAAGGACTTTTTAAAAATTACCCTCAAATAACAAAAAAAAAAAATAAGAGAAAATAGATGAAAAGGAGGACCCCAGATAGGTTAAAACGTATCTTCCTATGGTCCATACTGAAAACATAATATTAGATAATGGACATTCATTTGGGTTTTCATTCTCTACCTCAAATTAACACGATATTCTTTTATTGTGCTAGAACACGCCAATGTAAATCAAACAAGAATAGAACCTTTTCCCAAATAATAAGTAAAGAAACATGATAAAGTAGGAAAGTACCAAATTAGCTACAAATTTTCCATCTCATTGTCTTCTGTAAAATAAAATTTTATAATGAACATGCACCATACAAGCTGTGCTGGTAGGTCTCGCTTCCAAAAACACTCACAGAGCAGTAATAAAAACCAAGCATGAACTCTAGGACATCTGCTATGGCATTGTTATCAAATGCAATCATTTTGGTCACAAATCTATACTCGCTTCAACTTTTTGTTGAAATATTAGTTCGTCTGCAGCATCTCCAATCTGGCACGTGAGGACTGACAGATGCTCTGGTTTTACCTCATCTTCAACTTACACGGCTTCTCATTATACTAGCTATAGCTAGGCAAACTATTCCTCTGTTCTGGAAGGCAGACAAAATGCCATCTGTCTCTGCACGGTTATCAAAACGAATACTGCAGTGTAAAGAAACTCAGCTCCAAAATGGGAGAGTGAGGAGTTGCACTCCATCCACATCTTATTACAAATTATATATATATATATTCATACTATATATGTAATATACAAGGGCTCAATACTCAAGTTTTCCAACAATTCCATGATGTGAATATTTTCAACCAATAGGCACGTCTCACCTTTCCTAGCTGTATTTGTAACCCATGCAGTTTGCATCATCTGACACTAATTACTAGCTAGAAGGCAAGAGAGCGATTCTCCCCCAGCAAAAGATTCCAAGGTCATTCTGCAACTGAAAGAAGGTGGGAGCCTTACTGTGAAAATCAGGCTACATCCAGAGACAATAGAGAGAAGGAAAGGAGAAAAATTCTTTATAGAAATGGAAGAACAAGTGTATTACAACAACAGGCTATACCCTTGCAAGTCAGTGGGTGGGAAGAGGAGGAGGGGGGTGATGAGGGATAGACGCTAACACCACAGAAAACCTAAAAATGGTGCTGGCACTTTTGTTAGCACTAATACTAACAATGTCACTAGGAAAGAGCCAGAGGTAACTGCAAAGCAGCATTGTCAGATGTTCGACTCGTTATCTGCAGCAAAATGTGGAACTTGAACTTTACTCACGACTTTATGTCTAACTTTGATTCTTATACTTCCATAGATTTGAAGCACAGAAATGTAAAAGAACTTTCAACCTGGAAAAAAATTTTATACATTAAGAAATTCAAGGAGTTCTTTAAAGCTAGTATTTTTCTTCAGTGGAGGTGGTAGATCATAATGAGGATCTTGAGATTTGGAGACTCTGATTTAGGGGCTATTCAGCCCTTTACTCCTTAAACTCTTAACGTTTAAAGTTGCCTGCTCAGAGTCAATAGTACATTCTCACCAGCAATTTATAGGTACCAAAGTCCTCCTGTTGTCAATATGAGTGCCTTGTCATTTTCAAATTAAGTCTTCATTCAAACTCCTAATCCCAGACATCTGTCTAAAAAAATGGATGAGGATTACAAGTCAGAACGAATGCCATTTTTTTACTCCAAAGTCAATTGGTTTTGATCTGTTTACATAACCTTTTGTTTAATGCTATAGTTTATAAGAAATGAGATTCTGGAAGCCTTATGTGAAAGCTATCAGTCCAGTTCCCACATGGGTCAGTTAGGGTCAGTTAACTTGGCCATGTCACAGTCCCATGCTCTCCTCTCACCCATTGAATCATCTGGCAAATGGCATTGTTGGTCACAAGAAGAGTCAAGGAGAAAATGTGGCTAGACTAGTGCAAATCCATCTTTGTGGCTGAGAAGGAATGACCAGGGGTCAGGAGTGCCATCTTGGTACAAAAAGGAGAGCCCATTTTCATTTTTGCTGTCTTCTCCACTTCCCACACTAAATTTCATCCACAAGCATCATTTCTGCCAAAGTTCTTTGAAGTTCCTGCACTTACCTGACTACCTGTTACAACAAGCTTTATTGATTTACAATGATGCTAGCGTATATTATCACAATCAAGACAATAGACACCCTTTTAAGAGAAAAGATTTGCCTTCATGCAGAGAAACATCTCAAGGAAAAAAAAGAGCCTTGCTGGAACAGAAGCCCAGCACTGCATTGACGATGCCCCAGGACAAAAACTGCCACACAGACAGGAAGCCCACTCAAGTCAGCCAGGCCATCTGTAAGAGTGCTTGGCTGCACCTTGCTATGCTCCTTCAGTGGGCTCCTGATACCTGCCTGCTCCCAGCTGCTCTGAACTCTGTTTCTCTCCTGAACTTTGGATTTTGGACTCTCCTTTAGCTCTTGGTGCCTCCTGGCCACCTTTAAAAAAAAAAAAATCAGCCTCCTCTTTAAGTACACAGCACTGCCTCTTAAAGGAGCATTCCTGTTACTCACTCAGCATGCCCCTGGCCAGGCCCATTGCACCAGACACAATAGCAGAATAAAGCTGGAAGAGCTTTGAGTAAAAACTCAAAAGATCTGAGCTCCAGTCCACCTGAATTCCTAACAAGCAACATGGCATGAAGCAAATACTCTAATATCTATGTACATGTGCTTTTTCCTTTTTCAGATGGAGATACTTATACTGATCCTGCTTCTTTCATTGGGATAAAACAGTGCCTGGCACAGAACAAGCTCTCAATCAATATTTATTAATATGTTAAAAGATTAGAAAGTTAATGTGTCATCCAAGTATAAGGTGATACCATAGCAAATTATTTTAAATGTCTCAGGCTTCTCAATATTTGCATACAATTTAAGATGGTAGCAACTGCCAACTGATAAGGTTTTGAACGTATATTACAATATGTAATATTGTAAAATAATATTTACATAGCTTATATTTACTGAGTACATACTAGGTATCAGGAACTATTCTAAGCATCTTATACAGATTAACTCACTGAATCCTCACAACAAACCTGCAGTATAAAGACTATTATTACCATCCTTTTACTTATGAGGAAACTGAGGTTCAGAGAGGTCAAGTGGCATGCCTCATGCCTCTAGTCACTTACATAGATAATAAATGACAGAATTGGGATTTAACACTAGCTCTATCACTGGCTCCAGAACCTTTGTATTTCCATGGTGCTATTCTACAAGTAAAGATCAAAGTAAAATATGCAGGAGAAAATATAAACCAGCTAACCATAAACCAGACTTTTGTTGTGTCATAGAACCCAATAACTATACAGAAAAAAAAAACCCGGCTACACGTTGACTTTCCCAACACAAGACCTACAAAACTAAGGTTGTCATCCACAATAATATTGATGACAAAATTACCTTTATAAAGCAGTCCTTCTTTTTTGCCATCTGTCCACTCTCAGTTACATTTAGGAGACAAGTTGCTTTATGTTATGTGCAGTTTGAAGGTACATTTGCCTCACTGCTCCTTCATTCTGTAAGCAGCAGTGGGAAGGTAGAAGGAGCATTCAACTTGGAGTCAGAAAAGCTGGGCTCTGCTCCTGAATGGCAATAACCGGTCTCTGCTTTCACTGGTCAGTTAAGGAGGTTGGAACAGATTCTGGATTAAGCTTCTGCAAGAGCTACAATTAAATGGTCTTATAATGTTGAAGTTAATGTTTATCTCCCGAGCTAAAATGGGCTGAAGGCAGGGTTGGGGAGGTGGGGACTCAATGTGCTGCAACACCAGAAAAGGCATTAGAAAATCCACAGAACTCGCTTAAATCCAGAAGAGTCTGTAGTTTCAGCTCCAAATATCTCTCAGTGAACCAACTACTTTAAACTTCTTTTGGCAATAATGAGATTCTGATGATGATGACAATGATGATCTATTGCCTTGTTTTACTGTGCAACTACCATAAGCGTAATATTTTACATACATTGTTTCATTGAACCTCACAAGAATACTGCAAGGCAGGTATTATTATTCCCACTTTACACATGTGCAAACCAAAGATCAGAGAGAAGAAATGGCTCTTACCAAGCTTACACAGCTAGTAAGTGGCAGAGATGGTGCTCTAATCACCAGGGTCAAGCTCTAAGACAGATCAAGTAACCTTATTCATCATTGTGCCTCTAGAACCTAACCCAATACCTGGCACTTACTGAACGTCTCACTCAATCAGTGCTTATTGAGTGAAGGAATAACTCCAAAATGTGTGCTCCTACCACTCTACATGCTGTCTTTTCCATGACCCAATCTCTATTTCTTGCTCCCGATGTTACACATTTTATATTTGTTCCCTCACATAATTTATTTAGTAAAACTTCAAGATAATTTAATTACTGTGTTCCTGTTTTAGAAATAAGGAAAGTGAAATTGGTAGAAGGTGAGCCACTCACTCAAATCTACAAATAAACATAGCTAGGAAGTGGTGAATCTGGCTTTGAATCCAGATCTGGCTAGCTCCAAATCCTGACCTTATCAGATTTTAAAGTTATCTGTAAATTATGAATTATTATTTAAGAAATAAAAATAAAAGTAATCCTTGTGGAATATTACTTATAAATGATGAAGCTATGTATTTTGAGTTTACTTTCAACTTTTCTGCTATCGTCTCCCACCCCTGCAAATGTACACACATATACCAAGGCAATTGGCCTCTTGGGTTTTGTTCTAGCATCATTGGAAACCCACACTCTAAACACGAGATGGGCACTTCACTTACAGCACTACCATCAGAAGCACCTCGTGAGAACTGAAAGGCATACAAGAGACTTGTTTGTTCTTACAGTTCTTTGCACCAATTTCATATGCTTCACATTAATATAAAAATAGTCATTCTGAAAGACATTTAATATTAAAAGTTTTAAAAGATACATTTTTTGGTCTTCATTGGGTAAAAAAAATGAAGAAAAACAAAATGGATTTTTAATTTCCCATACACTCCTATGTCATAAAATTCAATGTTGGTTATTTAGGATTAAGCAAATGCATAATTTCCATTAAAATAATATGAAACACAAAAGCAGCAGTAGGAGTTTCTCAGGTTTTCACTGACTAACTATATAGGGGAAAGTCCTAGACATCATATACCCTTTATAGGGGGCCCTTTGGTAGGGTCTGCACTATGCTACTGACATTAGTATATATTGCTTATAGAGCCATATGATGACAGACCACATCATATCCTCCAGTCTGATCGGGGTGCCTTCCTCTGAATGAGGCCACCTATACCACAACAACAGTGCTACTCACACACTGTAACTAGCTTTCTCACCTCAGTTCTCCTGTCCCCCACACTCACTCTCTGCTCTCCCCTCTGAATCTTACACAGTACCCCAAATGCTATGCCCTTTCAGGTCTTTATTCCTTTGCACATGCTGTTCCCCCTTATTAGAATGTCTTTTAAGATCCTGCCCTTTTAAACTATAAAGTGAGCACCTATGCATCTTTCATGACCTGGCTTGTCCTCTGGAAACTCTTTCTCAGCATGGCAGAAGTGGTTGCTCTCTACCCCCACTCCAATGCCTAAGCCTACACACATCTTTATACTACTCAGCTTGTTGGTCTATTTGTTCCATTAAACTGTAAGCTCCTTGAGGTAGGAACCCTCTTCTGTGCATCTTTGGACCTCTGTTCCTAGGCTCCATGGAGTTTAGCACCTGAGAGATGCTCTGTAGAAGTTCAGTGAATGAATACATGCAGACTCTCAAGACATGGCTTATCCATTTTTTCCTAGTTTCCAAAGCAGGAAATTCCAAAAGGCAATTCAAAGGCATGTCTTTAATGCAGCTGCCTGGTTACATCTGTTCACTTTCCATAGAAAGCCATCTTTTTGCTTCAGTAAGGCACATATCTGACAACATGAGTTCACCTTTCAAGTGGAGTGTCTCCATTCTGAATGACAAAATGGGATGGCCAAGAGGAGCAGAGAATTGCAAAGCAAACTGTGATCCAACATGAGAGATGAGGGTCAATCTCAGATTTGATCACATACAATGCTCTGTTTATTTCTTGTGATTTGCATTGCATTTTCAAGTGCAATGGTTTGGGTAATCTCTTCTTAACAATTTATTCACTTGGGAGTTATTCCTTCTTCTATGTATTTATACAATTACAGTATCTTAAAACTCTAAAGGATCTTGCACCCAATCTTCTACCCAAAGTAGATTAGAGTAGAAATAGAAAGATCTTTTGTACCATACGACAGGCAAAATTTTAAGATGACCCCTAATGTCTCACAACCCTGTATAATCTCCTTCTCTTGAGTTTGGGTAGGACCTGTTTTGCAGATATAATTAAGGTCCCTAATCCATTGCATTTTAGTTAATCAAAAACGGATGTTATATTGGGTGGGCTGGATCTAATCTGGTGAATCCTTTAAAAGAGGATCTAGACCTTCCTGGAAGTCAGAGACTAAAAGAGCAGACCTTTATAATGGACCCTTTATCTATCTTATTTTCTCATACCAGGAATCCAGTCTCTCCACTGTTAGATAGGAAGAAGCATGCTGCCACAAACTCTATGGCCACAATAAATTCTTCCAACAATCTGAGAGAGCTTGGAAGTGGCTCCTTCCCTAGGCAAGCCTCCAGACTAGAATACAATCGAACTGGTACCTTGATTGCAGCTTTGTGTCACCCTGAGCAGAGAACTCAGGAAAGCCATGCCTGGATATTTAAACTTTAGAAATTGTGAGATAATAAATGAGTGTTGTTTTAAGTTATGAAGCTTGCGGTAATTCATTATGCAGCAACAGAAGACGGATACAGCATCATATAGACTTCGGGTCCAATACTAGCATCACCGCTTCCTATATATGTGTGTCACTTTACACTTTGGACCTTAGTTTTTTCATCTATACAATGCAGATTATGTCATTTATCTGACAAGGCCATCGCGAGAAGTAATGAATGAATATATGTTAAGTGTGTTAATATACTTACTTAATATATGTTAAGTATATATATACTCTAGCTTTCACTCAAAGGCCAAAATATTAATAAACATATATTTATGCAGTTCCACTGAATGCCAGGCATTGTTCTAGTTGCTGGGTTTTCAGAAATGAACAAGCCAGACCAGATCCCTGCTTTTATGGAATTCACATGCTAACGGTGGGAAGACAGATAGTAAACAGCTAAATATATGAATGAGCAAGAACATATAATGAAAATAAAACAGTATCATATGGTAGAGAGTGCTGGGAGACACATCCAATTGCGAGGCCAGCAAACTCTCCAAAGAGGTGATATCCGACTTGAAATCTGAATGACAAGAAAAAATCAGTTTGTGTGATCAAGGATCAGGGTATTACAGAAAGAGGAAAAAGCCAGTGCAAAGCCTTCAAGTGTGAAAGAGTGTAGTGTTTTTGTGAAGCAGCAAGAAGGCCAATGAGGCTGAAGCAGAGGAAGCAGAGATAAGGCAGAGAGGTAGGCAGGGGAAATATAATACAGAGCCTCATAGACCATGGTCAAGAATTCACTTTTATCCAATTTCTCTGGAGAGAGTTTTGACCCAGATGAATGGCATTATCTGATTTATACGTTACAAGGTCATTCCATTGCATGGATTCCATGGTGCATGAATTGTAGGGAACAAGGGTTAAAGCTCAGAGGACAGTAGTATTGCAGTAGTTCAGACAAAAGAGGATTGTGACTTGGACTGGAGGGAGGAGGAGAGCACTGCATACGGTCATTCAACTCAATATTTTCTCAATGATTAAATATAAATTTCACACAAAGTAAAATGCCATATTTTTCCACCCTTTATTCCTCTTATTTTCTCACACCAGGATCTCGTTCAACGAGAAATGCTAGAATAGGGAGTTTCTTTTATGAGGCAACAAAAGCACCAAAATCAAGAGAGGCACAGAGATTAGAGCATTTTGTGAAAGCCACAACATGCAAAAATGCAGAAGTGAGAGGAACATCTAGAAGGAAAAATGGCAAAACCAAAGGTGGCCAGAGAAACGTATGGAGGCAGGGTACAGAATGAGGGAGAGAAGAGCCACCATCAAGATCAAATGAGGAGCAGGCAAGTAGAAGGCCTAGGCAACAACTGGAATATCAAGAATCCTCTAAGCTTTTCCACAATTTCAGGATATGGGGCATGCAGGTGGGTTACCTGAGTTTGAAGGGCCAGGGCCAAAACAAAAGAGGTGCATGTGTATGTGCACGTATGCATATGCATATGAAGACTTATACACTTATGTGTGGGTTAAAATGCATAAGAAAACATATTTATTCATCATTCATTCACTTTAGACTTCATAAATTAAAGCAAAGCATATTAAAAACCAAATGCAAATTGACAAAATGAAACCTAAAAAGGAATCAGTTTCCCTGGGAAAATCTTTCTAAGAGAGTTTCAGTAAACTGAAGAGTATCACAAAATACAGCTTTCTTTGTGTTTGAAGTGTTTGTTTGTCAAGGTGCTCCACTAATTAGAGATATTGTTGTGATCCTATACCCAGACCGTGTTTGTAATTCCACCTTTAACACTAATCATGATCCAAAAATGGAAAGAAACCAATGTATTGTGACTAAAATCATCTCATTAATACATCTGACACGTCCAGCAGGTGAACAAAGAAAGGGCTTTGACAGCATGGAGTGCTAAACAAATGCACAGTAATAGAGACAACCATCTCCTTCAGAGGGCCAGGAGCCCAAATGACGGCTTTGCTCTTTCTAAAGAAAAATCAAGGTAACAACCAAGAACATTACCTATTATCATTTTCAATAACAAGGGTCCCCAAATGCTCCATGCTTCTTGTTATTTTAGGTTACAATAAACTTCATCACTTAGAATACACTTATACTCCTCAACTGGTAGACATTTTATCTTAAGTATATGGTCCATAGGGCTAAGAAAGGCTTTGTTAAACTTTGTTATAAATACTACAGAATACCAAGTGAATGCAGGAATAATTTCAATTTCATTCTAAGGCTTTATCAGCCTGTATTTTCTGTTTGTAATTCTTTATCACAAAGTAACTGTGTTCATGTATGATATTTTCTTATTCTCTAATCCACCCCCTCCCATCCCAAAGCAATCCAATACCATATTGATTTTTTTCATAGTTTCAGATGAGTATAATCATAGGTGACAAAGAAAACCCCACTAAATAAGTGAACACAAAACCTACAGCCTTCTCTTGACATAAGAAACACTCACTAAATCACCGTCATATGTTTATTTTTCATTGCAAAAGGTTTATTGACTATTGAAGAGGATTCAGCGGGTCCCATCCAAGTTCAGACACATGAATTAAAATATCTCAGGCCAGTTATGTGAAATTCCATTTATATTTGGTTTTAGCTCAGAAGTTATGTGATTGCTAGCTAATAGTTTTTGATCTGATTGAAATATGTCATTAATTATCAAAGAAATTACATTGCTGACCACTCTGTTGAATTTAAAAGATAGGTACAGAGTGGCAATTCTTAGGGTGAATGTGAGGAGTTATACTTGTATGACATATAAAGTTGTTTACCTCTCTGTCTCCTCTTTTATGCTGTGAGCCCCACGAGGGCAGGAATTCTCTTTTATCTCAGTGATCCTTGTGCCTAGAAGAGTGGGTGACACACAGTAGGTTCAAAAGTAATGTTAAACTAAGGACTACAAGTTTATGGTCTGTCTTAAAGTCCTTATAATCTCATAGGCAAAAATTGGCCACAAATTAAAATTGCAGTAATACAAGGCAGTTGAAAAAATTTGTCTTATGCATAAAACAAATTAAATGCACTAAAAACACATAAGATGAGAAGTCACTTTAGGGTGGGATCATATGCAGAAAGAATTGGGCCAAATTTCTAAAGATTGGTAAATATGGTTGGAAAAGGCATTCTAAACACTGGAAATGGCAGCAGCAAAAGCAGGAAGGTAGAAAAGTTCAATGCATATACTCAAAAGTGACAAATACTCTTTATCCAATTGAATGTAATATCAGACATGTAGAGGAGAAAAGGCTAGAAAGGTAGCTTGACAGCAGATTATAGAGGTCTCACATACAAAGTTAAGGAATTTGGACATTACTCAGTAGACAATTTGGTACTCAGGAGCCACTAAAGATTTATGAGCAGAAGATCAATATTAATTAATTCAATAAACTTTTTGTGAGATATATCAACAGAATTCAAAGTTATATCTTGAAATTAGAGGAAATAAATACAGAAAACTGCAGATGAATCTACATAGGGAATTTTATAAGATATATACATCGGGTGGCTAAAGATATAGAGCATTGATCCAAATAGAAGAAAAACCTGGTTTGGTTCAATCGAATAATACCTGTGCATCAGAGTGAGTGACAAATCAGACAGCACTAAACAAGAATGAGCACCGGCTAAAAAGGCTAATAGGAATAACCACAAAAGATCAGATAAATACTGTTTTGAGACATTTAATACTTTGTCAAACACATGAAGGTAGATTCAGTCTAACTTTCACTTCCATGGATAAGAAACAAGTTGAAATACACAATGAAACAAAATCAATGTGATGCAGGTGGACCCAGATTTGAACCCTGGCTCCACCATTTATTGGCTCTATGATCCAAAGCAATTTGCTTAGCTTTTCTGAGCCTTAATTTCCTTATTGGCGAAATAGTGATTACAGTAATACCCACCTACAGAGTTGGTATGTGTTAAATGAGAAGATGTGGGTGAATAGAGCTCTGTGAATTGTAGGGGCCAAGCACAGCTCTTCTCAGACCTTAGTGTGTGCCTGAGAATCCCCAGGGAGCTTGTTAAAATGCACATTCCCAGTCCCTTTACCCAAGAGATTTGACCTAGCACACTTGCAGTAGTGTTCTAAAACTAGCATTGAAAAAAAATAATTGTGGCAAAAAACCCATAATGTAAAATTTGCCATCTTAATCTTTTAAATTTTTAATTGATACATTATAATTGTACATATTTATGGGGCACATATGATATTTTGACACATACATACAATGTGTAATGATCAAATCAGGATATTTAGGATATCCATCACCTCAAACATCTTTTCTCTGTGTTTGAGAATATTTCTTATCTTGTCTTCCAGCTATTTTAAAATACACAATAAATTGCTGTTACCCATAGTTACCCTGTTGTGCTATCAAACACTAGAACTTATTCCTTCTATTTAATTGTATGTCTGTACTCATTAACCTCCCTACTATTGTTTCAATACTAAAGAATGGTGTTTCATCATTGAAGAACCGTGCTTTACCTAGTAGGAGGATATCTATCTGCCAGTCTAGGTGTTGCCAGATCAAACTTATTTAGGTTAGCTCAAATAGTAGAGATTGAATTTTCACTCTCTCACTATTGGCCCACCTATATTCATCTCTTTGTTTTGTAGTGCTCGTACAGACCTCCCCATTTGCCTTTAGTGGCAACAGCCCTATGGTTACACCCTGGCCTTCAATTAGTAATTGTGTTTATTCTATGGGATTGAAGCCCATTCCATCAAAAATAGCTCATGATAATAAGGCAGTTTACCTCATCTAAGTTAAGAGAGTGTAAGGAGTCTGCCTGACTTCAGGGATAAAAATATAAATATCAGCAACAACTACTTCATGAAGTCTTCTAGATTGACATGAAAGTCAAAGGAAGTTAATATGGAGAAAGGTTTTAAATAAAGGCCATTCATTTAGGGGCCCAGACACAGCCTTCCTCTTCCTCAATAAAAGACAGTTCTAAATTTTAAATCAGTAAAAAAAAAAAAAAAAAAAAAAAAAGATATATTTAGAAAGATCTGGCTGTTACTCAAATGGATATTTTTCCAGATAGGTGACATTAAATTACATTATTTAGCTTTAAAATGTTCTGCCAGCATAAAATGAAATAGGCGTTTCCTTTTGGAGAGTAAGAGGATGATCCTCTGGGGTCAAAGTTCCTAAAATAGGGTAGGGAAAAGTTCAGGCTGCTGGTATCCATGCTGTGAAGAGAGTTTTAAGCCTCAGTGTTGTCAAAAACTACTCCATAAATCAGTAACTTACCTAATGTTAGAAGGCAAGAATTTATTTTGAAATGGGAGGAGCTCTTTTTTTCATCTGAAGAAGTAATACTTCATCACTAGTCTTCATCAATTCCCTCCCTGGCATCCTAGCTCTTTAAAGAACCCACTATAGTGGATGAGAATGAAGGTCTAGGATTTGTTTTTGTTGGTGACATCTTTGGTAATAGAATAAACACAGAGTGTGCCAGTAACTGCTATTTCTCTTTAGTTAATACTCAGCACCCTGAGGTTTCAATGAGAAACCCAGAAGCATTATCATTTTGTAGCAGAAATTAAAAAATCAAGACGCTAAGAAATGTGTTCAAATTTCACATTAATTCACTGCTTAGGCTGGGAAAGCACATGACTAATGACTGTGTTTTCAGCTAGTGTGCTCTGACATAGTCTCTTCTATAATTGAAAAAAAAAACCAAAGACACACATCTACCAATAGCTTCTGGTAGTCTATGCACTTCTAGGCTCAGAAAGAAGTTGAGGTGTATGAATACAAAGACGGGAGGTACCTGGGCAGAGCACCTGCAGAAATACTTGGTAAGCAAAGATAGAGAATGCAGCTCATTGTGATTTTAAACAGGAGATGGCTAGGTGGGCCTAGTAATTTGTAGACTGGAATGTGCTTTTCCCTTTTGTCCATGCTATTACTCATGTATGAAATATCCCACACTTATTGGATTCACTTATCCAACACTTACTCTTCTTTCAAATACAGTCTCCTCTACAAAGTCCTCTTTAATTGCTTGGCCTTCAGGACAACTTCTTTCTCTAAAATAGTGTATATTTGATTTGTTGTCTGTATCTCATTTGACACTTAGCATAGTGTCTTGTTAATATGTATCTTCTGTATCTGTCCTCTTCCCTAACTGTACAATAAGCATTTTAAATGAAGAGGTCCTCTTTACTACATCCTTAAAAAGTGGTTGCCTTTCTCCGATTAAGCACCTCCAGTGAAATGGAACTCACTACTACCTCATGGAGCAAAAAGCAGCTATAATTGTTAACCACACTACCATCACCATAAACACACTCTTCCTTACACCAAGCAAAATTTGTCTTCCAATATCTCCCACTCATTGGCTTCCAAGTTCAACTAACCTATGGGGTTGCAACAGTGCATGGGCAGGGCTTCTTTTCCATGGGACACATCTTTACATGTCTGAGCCCTAGTAATTACTTCCCATCTGATGTTCTTACTTCTTCACCCAAGTATCTGCAATTGTCTTAACTGTTCCTCACATGCCATGGTTTCCACACATCTTACCTTAATTATTGTGGCTTTGCACTAAAGATTGTAAAATTTGCTAAATGTATCTTCACATGTGGTGCCCTGAACTAAGTTTGACATTCCAATTTATTTGTTTATTTATTCATAAATTTACTCAACAAATATTTATTTAGTGGCAACTCTGCCTGGCATTGTCATACGCATAGAGGATAGAGCAATAAAAGAGAGAGACATGGTTCCTGTCCATAAGAAACTCATAAAATGTGGGGGATAAGCATTTGATTCTGATCATGCAAATAATTATTAGATAGCAATGTTGGTTTTCTGTGATATGTAACAACTACCAAAAATTCAAAGGCTTAAAATGACACACATGTATTACCTCACAGTTTCTGTGCATCAGGAGTCTGGGCTCAGCCTACCTGGGCTTTTTGCTTAGGGTTTCTCACAAAGTTGCAGTCCGGGACTGGGATCTCATCTGAAATCCTGACTGGGGAGGGACCTACTTCCAGTGTGCCTCAGTTTGTTAACAGAACTCATTTCCTTGCAGTTGGCCATGGGATTTATCACAGCTTAGTTCTTCAAAGTTAGCAACAGAAAAATAGACTCAAGCAATACAGTCTAGATTATGCAATCACATACATGTAATCATGTAGGGGCTGTCACCTTTGCCATATTCTATTGGTTAGAAGCAAGTGATAGCTCATGCTCATATTCAAGAAGAGAGGACTTGTGTAATCACCAGGGGAGGGGAAGTTGCTAATTTTTTGAGTATGAAGTTTGTTTCATCTTAACCAGATCGCAGGCTTACACAACCAGATCACAAGGTAGGTAGCAGGTTCTATAATTTTTTTTTACCTCAAGGCACTTAACACAATACTACTCATAGGTGTTTGGCAAATAATCATTAATTTAATTTGATATCAAATGGATCAAATGTTCCTCAATTTGTCATTAAGGTTAAAGTCACTCAGCAGACCCTCAAAGACTGTTGCCATTCATGGATTTAATGCCAGGTTTGAGTGGCCCAATAAACATCCAGAAATGTGTTAATATCATGAGCTACAGAAAAGCAGATCCCTTTGCCTGACTGAGCATCTGCCTCTGAGGGTAGCTTTGCTGTGCTCTATTCTTCACCATGTGAAGAGATATTGCAAGTAAAGATATAATTTTCCTCTCTGACAAATGCAACTAAGGAGATAAATGGTCCGGAAAGGCCTGACATAATCGCTAGAGCTAAGAAAGGCAGCTTTGAGGAGGTGACATTTAAGTCAAAACCATAGAGCTAGCTGGGCAAATGAGAGAATTGCCAAATAATAAGGAAGAAAAAAAGCATCAAAAACAGAGAAACAGGAAAAAAAAAAAAAAAACAGGTGTGAAAGCCTGTGGTGGGAAGATCCCTGGTGCCCAGAGTGCAGGAAATGAGAAGAAAAGAGGTTTGAGAAGCAAATTGGGACCCTATGATCCAAAGCCAGGTTTGGGACAACCAACCATCTTTTTATTTCCTCCACATTCAAGAGTGTAGAAGAAATAAAGCAATGTTCAAGGTTCTCTCAATTTTTCTCCTTGTGATGACACTCACAGAGAACATTGAAAATTGTGGAAATTAACAGAGGACCAGCATGAAAAACTTCCAAAGAATTAAATTACCCACCAAGCAGCCTTGCCCATGGAAACCAATTCTAACCCTTTTGGGGGGCATTGAGGCATGTCCTAAGTCAGTAAATATATTAGAAGGTGCCAAAGGACTAATGGAATGGAAAGTCCCTAGAGCATCATTAGAAAACTGTACACAAAATGCATTCCACAGGAGTCAACATAGGCAGTACGGCATCATTATGCAGCCCTTCTGGTCCTTGTGAGAACTCAAACCCTTGCATATTCTAATGTAGTATAACGACTTTTGTGAACTCAAGCTTACAGGCTGATGCTTGCTTAGTATTGCTACCAAGTACCAATTGGCATACAAATAACACTGTAAGTATCTGAAAAGATTGTCCTCTTTGGCTAAGTGCAGAGAAGTGAGGGAGGAAGGGGACAGCCTTCTAGTCAGCTAGAGCAGGTGAATCAACTCTGGTGATACATGATACAGCCCTCACATCTGTGGCTCTGTGAACAGAATATTGGCTGGTGTTTTGTAAACTCAAACAAATTAGAAGAGCAAAAGTCTAATGTGATTTTCAGTGTAACACAGCAATGTCTTAGGAGTATCCACTGAACAACTGTCCAGACATTGGAATAGGCCATCAAATGTTATTATAAAATTTTCCACCCCTAGTGAGCAATCATCTATCATGGAGAATTTAGAGGAAGAAGCCTTAAAAATAGAAGCTGGGTTCAAAGCCCTCATAAATTTCCTCTAGTTCTAGGACCATACAAAAGTCAGCATATTTCAAGGAAGTTGTACATTTAGGAGAGATGATATTCTCACAAGATTTTGCTGCCATTATACCAGTATTTATTTTAAAAGACTGAAAAGTGGATAAAGCAATGACAAAATAAGATGAAATGTTTAAAACAAATTGGTCCCTTCAATTGTTTTAAATAGACTTTTCTTACTTGGAATCTCAGAATCATCTTTGGATATAAAGATGAGAGACTTTAGACCCCAAGGTAGAAAGGGACAGATGTTGGCTAGTGGCCAAATTAAGAAACCAAGGGCAATGGTGTTCACTTAATGAGAGATCACTTAATCCAATCTCCTAACCAGAGTTACTGTGAGGAGAGAAAAGCCCAGGGAGATCATAAAACATGTTAACATTGGAATAAATAATTGGAAAATTCCTAGGACCCTCTAGGGTCCAACTTCAAGGTCATGTCCAAGGAGAATCAACATTCGCCATCTGCATTCTGCACTTCCTCAAACAGAGATAAACAGAGAGTAAAAGGCAACTGAATCCCAAGTTAGGATAGAAGATAAAAACAAGGCCTGTTACTGGCTGCAGATAAAAGTGTTGCACTATGTTACGGCAAAAAGGCACAGGAGGGCTTCATGATAAACTCACCAGGAAAATAAGAATCTTTCAGTTTATAATTCTACATTGTCATTCTGATTATACCCATTCAGCCCAATACAGGAAAGTACATTGGGATTAATTATAAGGCTGTTTTGTTAGTAATAACATAGCAAAATTAAAAAAAAAAAACTAAATGATTCTGGCTATGGTCAGAAGCAAATGGCCATCATTTCCATTCATTTCTTGCATTAAAATGTAAATGAGGTAGTTTGTCTGCAGCACTGAAAGGAAAACTGACTAGTTTCCCTTAGAGGATTTCCCAGAATGGGACAAGTTCACATGAACCTAGCTGCTCAATCTACTCAGGACTGCTCACTTTGAGGCAAGGGGATGGATCAGTTGGCAGTTATTCCATCCTTGGGGCAATGGTTCACAAGTGAAGAAACTTCTTTCTTCTTTTTGGTTTTCATTGTTTTTAACACAGCTTGTGTATTCAATTGCTTCTCCACAGCAGCAGTGATTTCCTGGGTGTCTGTACAGAACAGGTAGAATGACCTGCCCACAGTCACACAGCTTGTATATGTCAAGGCTGGTAAATAAAAGCATCTATGACACCAGAGTCAATGTTTCTGCCATTAAATACAATTCACTGAAATTTGTAGAAGTGCATGAACACACGTGCATGCAGGCACACACGCACATGTGTGTACGTATAAATGCACACATATATATCTAATACTGGGTTCCCTTAGGACGTAAAGTTCTCTGGTTAGCTAGAAAAAAGAAATAAATGTCAGAAGCCCATTTAACAACATTAAAGCAGCAAAATATAGTAGAAAAGCATTGAAGAATAAAAATGGTAATACAGAGAGCAAGCTGCACGTAAACCATGGGTGACAAAGATAGTGGAGCATCTGGAACTTGTTGATGAGGCCTTGATCTTTTTCTCCAAATTTCTAAGTACTCTAGGACAGTGGCTCCCCAAGGAAGTACTCCAGGGGACCAAAGATAGTCCAAAATGTACACAACACAAAGGTAGAAAGCAACTGGCCATAGGTCATTCATTATATTAAGAGTCATAATGTGATGTGGAGGCCAGTGTCTTAGAGGACGGTGTTCTTCCCACCAACTAGACAATGCTGTCTTCTACAAAAATTAAAGGAAAGTCAGGACAACAAGAACATAAATGACAAAAAAAAAAAAACTTGATGGGAAAAGTACATAGCCTCATCAAAAAAGGAAACCATAGGAACAGCATTTTCTTGATTATGGGAAAGATGAGCATATGAGAAGGATGAGCAGAAAGGGAGATAGACCCCGGGGGAAAGAAGGCTATGAGTGCCATATCTGACATGTTCTGACTCTCTGGAGTCAAGGGCTGGGAGGGTGAAGGGAAGAGACCATCTGCTCCACCCTCAAAACATCTGTTATAAAATAAGACTGATGGCATGTGTCATGTCAGGAGGATCTTGTGAAAGAAACTGCTGAGCCGTACATGATCTGAGCTAATAGAGAAGTCCCCAAGGTTTGGAGACCTAGATTCTAATCCCAATTCAACTGCCAATTTACTGTGGAACACTGGGAAACTGCTTAACCCTATTCTGTCTCAAGTTTTCCATTGGCAATGGGGCAGTAAAATAAGCACTCTCCGGGATACTCCAAAATCACATTCCTGTACTCTTGATAGGTACAATATATTTACAAACTCCTAAGACAGTTCCTCCTTTTCCAGTTCAAAGGGGTCCTCCCATTTCAACCTAAAGAAGAGAAGCTTAAATTCTTTCACTCCCTGTCGACTTTCAGAGAACAATTCAACGTATCAGTCTTCTATCAAAAGAGATAATTTCAAGTAAGTAAGAAAAATTCATAAACATAATTAGATTACATGTTTATCCTTACACTGGGAGAAACAACATCCACCTTGTTATACTTATGATAACATATTCAATATTTCCTAATAAAATGAAGAGATAGAAGTACATGCTGTAGGTTGTACAGCAGAACAGTCTTCTAGTTCTTTCAGCTATAAATCTCTTTGTGAAGACTAAAGAATGGACCAATACCTTCCGCTGGATTCTTTGGGCTAATAAGTTGTGCTCTACTGAGAGTGGTTGTATTTTTTTAATGAGCTCATAATAAAATCAAATGAATTGACTGAACGCTTATTTGGTATTTCCAATTCCAGGCAGCCAACCCTAGAGGAGCTGACAGTCTTATGAAAGAGAAACTGCTCATTATTATCATATCTAGAACAAAGAAAGAAATAAAAGGCACATTAATTTGTTTCCAACCTTACCTCTGATTGATCATAAATATTTCACTTTACCGTATGAAACAGATAAATTTACCTAAAGTCAAGGATCATTTTTCTATCAATGGCTACTTACTCAGGGAGAAGAAGATGGGGAACAGGAAGAGAATGTATGGAGGAAGACCTAAGATTTTTATCTGTTTGTTTTGTTTATAACTAGGAAACTAGATCAAGTTTACTAGTCATAGTGTTCAAAATATCACTCTTAAATTCTTCCCTTTGAGTTAACTGTTGCTCTCTGCAGGCAGTAAATTTTAAAATGCAAATACCCTTGAGAGGAAGAACATATCAAACTAAGATCATTTTAGTATAAATTACTCTATTGGATGGTTTTGTCACTTAAGTAAAGCCTAGGGGAGCATGACTTGAGTGTATTGGAATTATAAGTGAACCTGGCCATGGACCGAAAGGGAAAAAATGTATTTAGAAAGAGGGCTGTGAGAAAGTCCCAGATGTTTCTTCATGTATTTACCATTTGCTGGATGTCAGCCTCGAGAAGCGTGGCAAGGTGATGGTATCCCTGGGAGTTGTGATGAAAGAAGGTGGAATGCCAAAGGGGGAGTTTTACTCCAAATCTACCTGCATGTTCATTACAGCACTAGTCACAATAGCCAGGATATAATCAAACTAAGTGTCCATCAACAGATGAAGGGATAAAGAAGGTTTAGTGTGTATATATATATATATATATATATATATATATACACACACACACACATACACACACAATGGAATACTATTCAGCCTTAAAGAAGCAAATTCCATCATTTGTGACATGTATGAACTTGGAGGACATTAACTTAAGTGAAATAATACAGGCACAGAAAAATAAAAACCACATAGTCTCACTTATATGTGGAATCTAGAAAGTTTGGATTCATAGAAGCAGAGAGTAAAATAGTGGTTGACAGGGACTGGGAGCAGGGGTGAAGAATAGGGAGATGTTGATTAAAGGGTATCAAATTTCAGTTACACAGGATAAATAAGTTCTGGATATCTATTGTACAGTATGATGACTATAGCTAATAATAATGCATGGCATACTTGAAAACTGCTAAGACAGTAGATCATAAATATTCTCACCACACACAAAAACGATAACTATGTGAGGTGATAGATATGTTAATCAGCTTGATTGTGAAAATTATTTCACAACGTGTACATATATCAAAACATCACACTGTACACTATAAATATATACAAATTTTTGTCAATTATACCTTAATAAAGGTGGAGTAAAATGAAAACAAAGAAAAGATGCATATATTACAGTAAAAGAAACATAGATTCATATAACCCTAATCTTGTAGAGCAGTGTTATTCAGTAGAAACACAATCACATTGTGAGTCACAGAAGTAATTTAAAATTTTCTAGCAGCCACATTCTCAAAAATTAAAAGAAAATCACAGAAATTGATTTTAATATTATTAATAATTTTTCTAAACAAATTCAAAATCATATTTCACTCTGTAATCTATGTATAAATTATTAAAGAGCCAATTTACATTCCTTTTTTATAATAAGCTTCTGAAACCTGATAGGTACTTATTTTTTTCCCCCTTCAACTTTTATTTTAAGTTCTAGGGTACATGTGCAGGATGTGCAGGTTTGTTACATAGGTAAACGTGTACCATGGTTGTTTGCTGCACAGATCAACCCGTCACCTAGGTATTAAGCCCAGCATCCCTTAGCTGTCTTGCTGATGCTCTATCTACCCCCACCTCCACCCCTAATAGGCCCCAGTGTGTGTTGTTTCCACCCCCATCCCCCAACCCTGTCCATGTGGTCTCATCATTCAGCTATAAGGGAGAACATGCAGCGTTTGGTTCTCTGTTCCTGTGTTAGTTTGCTGAGGTTAATGGCTTCCAGCTCCATCTATGTCCCTGCAAAGAATACAATATCCTTCTTTTTTATGGCCACACAGTATTTCATGGTATATATATATGTATACACATATATATATACCACATTTTCTTTATTCAATCTATCACTGATGGGCATTTGGGTGGATTCCATGTCTTTGCTATTGTGAATAGTGCTGGAATGAACATACACACACATGTATCTTTATAATAGAATGATTTATATTCCTTTAGGCATATACCCAGTATATGGGATTGCTGGGTCAAATGGTATTTCTGCTTCTAGATCTTTGAAGAATCGCCAAACTATCTTCCACAATGGTTGAACTAATTTACGTTCCCACCAACAGTGTAAAAGTGTTCCTTTTACTCTGAATCCTCACCAGCATCTGCTGTTTCTTGACTTTTTTAAAATTATACTTTAAATTCTGGGACAAATGTGCAGAAGGTGCAGGTTTACTACATAGGTATACACTTGCCATGGTGGTTTGCTGCACCCATCAACCCACCATCTACATTATGTATATCTCCTAATGCTATCCCTCCCCTAGCCCTCCACCCCCCAATAGGCCCTGGTGTGTGATGTTCCCCTCCCTGTGTCCATGTCTTCTCATTGTTCAGCTCCCACTTATGAGTGAGAACACGTGGTGTTTGGTTTTCTGTTTCTGTGTTAGTTTGCTGAGAATGATGGTTTCCAGGTTCAACTATGTCCCTGCAAAGGACATGAACTGATCCTTTTTTAGGGCTGCATAGTATTCCATGGCGTATATGTGCCACATTTTCTTTATCCAGTCTATCATTGATGGGCATTTGGGTTGGTTCCAAATCTTTGCTATTGTGAATAGTGCTGCAGTAAACATACGTGTGCATGTGGCTTTACAGTAGAATGATTTATAATCATTTGAGTATATACCCAGTAATGGGATTGCTGGGTCAAATGGTATTTTTGGTTCTAGATCCTTGAGGAATCGCCACACTGTCTTTCACAATGGTTGAACTGATTTACACTCCCACCAACAGTGTAAAAGCGTTTATATTCCTCCATACCCTCTCCAGCATCTGTTGTTTCCTGACTTTTTAATGATCGCCATTCTAACTGGCATGAGATGGTATCTCATTGTGGTTTTGATTTGCATTTCTCTGATTACCAGTGATGATGAGCTTTTTTTTATATGTTTGTTGGCTGCATAAATGTCTTCTCAAAATAATAAGAGCTATTTATGACAAACTCACAGCCAATATCATACTGAATGGACAAAAGCTGGAAGCATTCCCTTTGAAAACTGGCACAAGACAAGGATGCCCTCTCTCACAACTCCTATCCAACATAGTATTGGAAGTTCTGGCCAGGGCAATCAAGCAAGAGAAAAAAATAAAGCATATTCAAATAGGAAGAGAGGAAGTCAAATTGTCTCTGTTTGTAGAAGACATGATTGTATATTTAGAAAGCCCCAGCGTCTCAGCCCAAAATCTTAAGCTGATAAGCAACTTCAGCAAAGTGTCAGGATACAAAATCAATGTGCAAAAATCACAGGCATTCCTATACACCAATAATAGACAAACAGAAAGCCAAATTATGAATGAACTCCCATTCACAATTGCTACAAAGAGAATAAAATACTTAGGAATCCAACTTACAAGGGATGTGAAGAACCTCTTCAAGGAGAACTACACACCACTGCTCAAGGAAATAAGAGAAGACACAAACGAATGGAAAAACATTCCATACTCATGGATAGAAAGAATCAACATGGTGAAAATGGCCAAACTGCCCAAAGTAATTTATAGATTCAATGCTATCCCCATTAAGCTACCACTGACTTTCTTCACAGAACTAGAAAAAACTACTTTAAATTTCATATGGAACCAAAAAAGAGCCCATGTAGCCAAGACAATCCTAAGCCAAAAGAACAAAGCTGGAGGCATCACGCTACCTGACTTTAAACTATACTACAAGGCTATAGTAACTGAAACAGCATGGTACTGGTACCAAAACAGAGATCTAGACCAATGGAACAGAACAGTGGCCTCAGAAATAATGCCACACATCTACAACCATCTGATCTTTGACAAACCTGGCAAAAACAAGAAATGGGGAAAGGATTCCCTATAGTTGGGAAAACTAGCTAGCCATATGCAGAAAACTGAAACTGGACCCCTTCTTTACACCTTATACAAAAATTAACTCAAGATAGATTAAAGACTTAAACATTAAGACCTAAAACCATAAAAATCCTAGAAGAAAACCTAGGTAATACCATTCAGGACATACGCATGTGCAAAGACTTCATGAGTAAAACACCAAAAGCAATGGTAACAAAAGCCAAAATTGACAAATGGGATCTAATTAAACTAAGGGGCTTCTGCACAGCAAAAGAAACTATCATCCGAGTGAACAGGCAACCTATGGAATGGGAGAAAATTTTTGCAATCTATCCATCTGACAAAGGACTAATGTCCAGAATCTACAAGGAACTTAAAGAAATTTACAAGAAAAAAAACAAACAACCCCATCAAAAAGTGGGCAAAGGATATGAACAGACACTTCTTGACTTTTTAATAATCACCATTCTGACTGTTGTGAGATGGTATCTCATTGTGGTTTTAATTTGCATTTCTCTGATGATCACTGATGTTGAGCTTTTTTTCATGTTTGTTGGCCACATATGTGTCTTCTTTTGAGAAGTGTCTGTTCATGTCCTTTGCCCACTTTTTAATTGGGTTGTTTTTTTCTTGTAAATTTGTTTAAGCTCCTTTTAGACCCTGGATATTAGACCTTTGTCAGGTGGATAGATTGCAAACATTTTCTCCCATTCTGTAGGTTGTCTGTTTACTCTGATGATAGTTTCTTTTGCTGTGCAAGAGCTCTTTAGTTTAATTTCATCCCATTTGTCAATTTTTGCTTGTGTTGCAATTGCTTTAGGTGTTTTTGTCATGACATATTTGCCCGTGCCTGTGTTCTGAATGGTATTGCCTTGATTTTCTCCTAGGGTTTTTTTTTTTTTTATAGTTTTGGGTTTTACATTTAAGCCTTTAATCTAACTTGAGTTAATTTTTGTGTAAGTTGTAAGGAAGGGGTTTAATTTCAATGTTCTGCATATAGCTAGCCAGTTATCCCAGCAACATTAATTACATAGGGAATCCTTTCCCTATTGCTTGTTTTTGTCAGGCTTGTCAAAGATCAGATGGTTGTAGGTGTTTGATCTTATTTCTGACTTCTCTATTCTGTTCTATTGGTCTATATGTCTGTTTTTGTAAAACGTGGTGTGCATTTCTAGCACACCCCAATTTGGATGCTAAATGTTCATTGGAAATATTTGATCTCTATTTAGAGCTAATAACATTTATAGTTGACAAAGTAGATTCATATGCCCAAGCTGTTCCAAGCATGTGAAAGTTTTCCAATAACTGAATCAAGTACCAGTTTTAAAATATAAATCAATCAAAATTCATTTTAATAAGTTCCTCAGTTGCACTACACATTTTAGGTGTTGAAGGTCACATACGACTACTGTATTGGACAGTTCAGGTCTAAGATATGGGCAATAGGGGCCTAAAACTTTAGCGTATGAGTCACAGGAGCATTTTGAGTATTCCTAAGTTCATTTTGCTGTTTTCAGGAGCACAGACTATATTTGTATACCTGGTCAGCTACTGCATACATGTTGTCCAGTAGTCACAAGGTAGCCTTATCAGAGGATAATGTGGGTCCCTGTAACATCAGCCCTACTGCTTGTAAACACAACTCTAACATAAGCTCCTTGAAATCAGGATGCAGTACAGATTCAACCCACAATGCCACTCCCAGTACCTAGCACAAAATAAGCATTTGACCAATTCTTATCAAATGAATGACTGACTACCCTCCTGAGAGTTGACCAATTGACTCCTTTTCATGTGCTTTATTATGTGAACATCATTCACACTCGGCATCAGTCAGCAGACTGTGAGCTCACATCCATTATCTATAATAGAGACTCATAGCAAGCCTACTGTCTACCCTGTGCCTCCTAAAATAGATGCCTGCTAATTGCTGGCAATTTCAGAAGTTTAGTTTGTCTGTTAAAATATAAATACTCCCAACATGAGTGAGATGTTATACAGGTCTCTTAAAGTGAATAAGTCATACCTTGACCAAGGCAGACACTAAGGACCTGAAAACAGAAGAGGCACCACCAAAGGTGGATAAAAGAAGGATACAGAATGGGAATGTAGAGGCATGAAAGTCAAACAGCACTTCCTCCACTATTTGGCCCTCAGCCAGCACTAATAGTATATGGTACTTCATCTTTGCCCTGTACAATATTGCATACTTCCAATGTGGAATATGGGAGGAAATTTAGAGTAAGAAAATTACACCCACTAGGGTGACTACAAGAAAAATGAGAAATAATAATTGTTGATGAGGATGTGGAGAAATTGGAACATACCTACACTGCTGGTGGAAATGTAAAATGGTGCAGCCACTGTGGAAAACACTAGGGTAGTTCCCCCGTAAGCCAAACATCTAATTATCATGTGATCCTGTATATTAGTAAGGGAGCTATCTGGGCATCCCTTTGCCTAGTCAAGTTGACACATAAAATTAACCATCACACCCAGCAACTCCACTCCTTATGTATATTACTCAAAAGAATATAAAATGGGTGTTCAAACTAAAACTTATACACAAATGCTCATAGCAGCACTTTTCACAATAGCCAAAAGGTGGAAACAACCCGAGTGTCCATCAAGTGATAAATGGATAAACAAAATGTCATCTATTTTTACAATGGCATATCATTCATCCCTATAAAGGAATGAAGTGATGAGTATGCTACAACATGGGTGACCCTCAAAAACTTTAAGCTAAGTTAAAGAAGTCAGTCACAAAAAGCCACATATTATATGATTTCCTTTATATCAAATATCCACAACAGGATAATCCATAAGGACAGAAAGCAAATTAGTGGTTTCCAGGGACTGGGTGAAGGGTAAAATGGGGAGTGATTGCTTCATGGGCATGGGGTTTCCTTTTGGGGTAATAAACATGTTCTGGAACTAGACAGTGGTGACCATTGCACAATATTATGAGTGTACTAAATGCTACTACATTGTACACTTTTTAATGAATAAAATGGTAAATTTTATGTTATGTGTATTTTATCACAGTTTTTAAAATATTAAATAACAAGAATTATAAAGTCCAACATTTCTTTTTTTCCAAAATAATATTGAATTTTAATAAATAGGAGGTTTAACCAGTCTTCTTCCCTCTCTTCTTTCTTCTTGGATTTTCTTCCCCTTCGCTTTTTATTCTATATGGTATAAGGCTAATCTGTATCCCTACAATTCCTTTGTTTGCATTACAGCTTACAGGTGCTCTAATCAGTAATCTTTTAATGTTTTCATTTTATTTAATGCAATTGAACCTATCACACTATTTTCAACAAATTTTCATTCTAACACTGCCTGCCCTACCACGTATCAAGAACCGTGCAAGACACTTCATATATACATTTTCTCAATTAATATAAGAGTCAAAGATTTTTAAATTGGAAATGGCAACAATATTGTTTACAATCAAATTTTCAAAGAACAAAAATAACTTACAGGTACCAAAGCTGAAAGACCAACAAAATGATTCTAATTTGGAAAACCTTATTTTCATCTTGACAGATGCAGTCATTCACTACTCAAATGCATACTTACTGAGTACCTATTATGTAGCATTGCCAGTGATGGCAAAATGTAATGAATTTTTTCCTGAAATTGATTTTGACTGGGCATTAAGAGTCACATAGTCACTGAAGAAAACAGAAATACTAGTCTGCAAATGGACAAATGGGAAGGACTAAAGAGAGTGTGTTTTCATCATATTTGTGTGTGTGTGTGTGTGTGTGTGTGTGTGTGTGTGTGTGTGTGGAGGGGTTAGAGATAAACAAGACTATTCCATATATTCCTATATGTATTTTTTTTCTTTTTATATAATACACTGAAGTCCCACTATTACACCATCCTTAGGGAAGGGCCATGAAATTGTTTGGTAATAGTGAGTCCATGATTCATCAAAGCGTTTCCAGCATTGCCAGTGATTGAATGCCACTGGACCTGGTCCAAGGTGTGTTATGCCAAGTTTCATGCTATGTACTGCATAGAGAAGGTTGGATGATGTTTGGAGGACTGTATGTCATGTTCTGCTTCCAAACCATCTACTTTACTATTGTTGTGAAATACAGATCTCTCAGACAGGAAAAAAAAAAATTGATTTGACTCAAGTTTTGCCTACTGTTTCTGATGCCCAGGAGTTTTAGCTATATGTTAAGAGGACATGGCACAAGAAGAATTTTTTAAAGTCTCACACATATGTATCACTGGAATCTGAAATAAGGAAATACTGAGAAAAACAACAACAAGTTCTTGGGAGAACAGCTGGGCTGCAAAGAGAGCAAAAATTACATAAAAGAAACAAGTGGATCACATCCCAAATCTGAGAGTTTCTGCTCAGTGATGGAAGCTTCTGATAAGTTTCTCTGCTCATGCTTTCTATGTATCATTTATAAGCTCAACTATGAAAATAAGATAATACTTCAAATATAAAGTAAAAGTAATAAGTAATTGTTGAATGACTGAACAAGAGGAAAGGTGAATTATAAAAGGTTGGAAAGAGCAAGGCTTATGTAATTTGCAGAAAACTTGAGGTATTTTTTGGACTTCCTTGCCCTCTTTTTTCACACAAGCTGAGTGGGAGTGCCTAGTACATATCTGTCATTTCAGTTTATCAGTTAACCTGTGCTAAATTCCTTCACTTAAGAGACACTTATGTATATACAAAATTAAAGCCCCAAATAATAAATTTAAAATGTATAAGATTCAAAAAATTATTATTAAAAATACTACCCTACTGTGGTGAGACTCTAGATCAAATGGGTTCATAACTATTATATCATTGAATATTTAACGCAAGTAATGTGAAACTTTTTATAATACATTCTTCTGATATATGTATATTCATATTTACATTTTCTAGGTAAATGTATTTCACAGATGCTGTCACTGTCAGTAAATTAATTTTGCCAGCAGCCCTAAAATGCCAATTCTACACAAAAGGCAAAAATAAAAGCAATAGCCCCCAATTGAAAGTCCTCTTTGAGGCCATACAAATCTTTGTCAATGATATATAAAATGGACTTGGTATTCAATAGCCAGGATAGTGGCCCAGTATACTGCTGTAAGTGTATGTAGAGCCCCCTTGGGGAACTACAATGATAGAACCTATGTTTGGGAGACCCAATCCTCATGCCAGCAGTTAGCTTATTTGCATTTTTTAAATTTGAATTTTTTAACTCCATGTGCAGTGCACTTGGTTAGCTACCTAACTTACAACTGTGACAGTAAGTACACCTAATGGCACCTGTATAAACAGAAACCTCATTGTGATTTTCTTCTGAATGGGGCTCGTCCAACATGCAAGTATTACTACAGACATGTCTCTTCTTCATTTAGGCAAGCAAGTAACTGAGTCCTTAGAGGAAAGCATTCTCACAGGCTCTTTTTGCAAGGTTGGCGGGTCGGGGGGCGGGTTCTTTTACTGTTGTGATGAGGACAGAGTAAAGGGAGAGGGCTTTTTTCAATAAATACACTACTTATGAGAAAACTTGAATACTGAAACAAGATTGAAGAGGGAGCACATTTATCAATGGCTAGGGTTTGGGGAATAGAGGAGATTTATTCAAACATTAAACCTCTCATGTTTCCTCTGTTTTCATGGGAGATATTTGTATTTTAATACCTCTGCATTCCAGCTTCTCCTCTTACTGGATGTGAAGTTTCTACCTCGTGTTCATGACTATGCTGTCAGCTAAATGATCAATCATGCTATTGCCGATTTTGCATTGAGACTTCACGGCAGGGTGAAATCAGAGAACAAAATGGCTGTGGGGGAAGAATTTGTTTAAATACAGCTAGTTTGGGGAACTGGCAAAATGGTAAGAAAAATGATGAAAAACATATGAAGTGTAAGTGCAGCTATCTTTAAGGCAGATCCATTTCAAAGCTTTCCACAGCATGAAAGTCATTGTGTGATGCATGTCAGTGTTAGACTAGTAAAATACTGTAATTAGGATGGAACTAAATGCCAATATTTCAGTCTGTAGACTGTGGGCAGATTTGTATTTACTGCATGTCTCTAAATAATATGAATACACTGAAGGCTACTTATGAAATGAAGCTTGATTTTATATCTACAACCAGAAAAAAAAGGTTTAAGAAAGCCCAACAGCCACAAATCCCAAGTAAGAAAAATAAAGGGGGTCAGCATGAAGCCCCATGGTATCTTGATATCTTTGAACCTATTCTGTATGTGTGGAGTCCCATATGCAACACAGGAGTCAGGAAGAAAGAAGGAACTCTGTGTTATAAACACTGCAACAGTGGTTTGGAAGCAAGATATTCAAGTAGAAGGCACATATGCCTGGGTTATGATTCAGAATTGAACCTCTTCAATGTAACTTCAACAAGCAAGCAACGCCTACTTCTTTTAATATTGCTATTACATTTAAATGCAAGTTTTGAGTGACTGCTTTGTAAAGATTCAACTGATGGAAATGATCTACTATTACAAGGGCAGATCATGCTTGCTTAAAATCAATCATTTTAACTCCGCCTTTGTAATACATTCATGATACAAACATTATTTTCTTCATGCAAGTCCTGCTATTAATTCTAATCTTATAGTGCTCTCTACTGGTGATAAATGATTTGAAACCTCATTAGATATCAAAAGACCTAATTAACTTCTCATCTTAGGCTCACATTACCGTGTGAGTCCACCTTGACACCTCCAAATTCACTACACAGTGCGATCAGAAGCCAAGGTGCACGGAAAACCTCCCTCCTGTAAGGAGCCAGAAAGGCATGACCCCGCACTTCTGCTATAAATCATTGCATCAGGAGCACCCAGGAGAAAAGGCCCTCAGCTTTGGAACAGGAACATTTAGCCCTGTCGGCTGCGAGGCAGGTCAAGTAAAAAAACTGAATGAGGAATAAAGAATTGGATTGGAATCCTTTCTGGCTTTGGGTCACAATAGCCTTGTCACTCGAGTAAGTCACTTTTACCTCTTCGAGGCTTCATTCTCTCATCAGTAAAATATGAATGATAATTCCGACCCTGGCTGTTTTGCTGGGTTGTTGTAACAAATGAGATCATAGGTAAGAGAGTACTTCATAAAAATTATATTATCATCATTATTATTACAGTAAAAGAAACACTATTTTCTTTAGATCAATGAACTTTAAACCTTTTTAGTTTTTTTTTTTAATCAGTGGGACGGACTTTTAAAATCAATCTTACATGGAACCTTAATATATAGAACAGATTATATCAGAAGAGTTTTGTTGTTTAATTTCAAATATATAACTATTTAAGTTGGTACAAAAGTCAGTGTGTTTTTTGCAATTAAAAGGAATGGGGGAAGAATTTGTTTACAAAATGGTAAGAAAAATGATGGAAAATATATGAAGTATGTTCAAAGTAGTGGGATTAAAAGTAATGGCAAAAAGCGCACTTACTCTTGCACCAACCTAATATTTACATATTATCAAGTCGGTTAATGAGAAGAATGAAACTGTCTGGATATACATGAAATTTTGAAATTTGGTATAATGGTTATCAATTGCACTGACATTTGTCTCGATGTCTAATTTATTTCTGGACTTCCTTTGCTTGCCTAGTATCAGAAAAATTATGATTCATATACACAAATGTCTGTAAATGATATATTTTTAAAATTGCTTAGAAATCTCAGCATATTCTTCAACTAAAATGATACAGAACCTTGAACAGTAAGTGGTAATAATAATATCTACTGCTCATGAATATTCTCTACATACCAGGTGTTTCTCTAAGGACTTCATGTATGTTAACTCACTTTTTTTTTATTTCCGTAGGTTATTGGGAAACAGATGGTGTTTGGTTACATGTGTAAGTTCTTTAGTGGTGATTTGTGAGATGTTGGTACACCCAACACCCGAGCAGTATACACTGAACACTATGTGTAGTCTTTTATCTCTCACCCCCTTCCCACCCTTTCTTCCTGAGTCCCCAAAGTCCACTGTGTCATTCTTATGCCTTTGCATCCTCATAGCTTAGCTCCCACTTATGAGTGAGAACATACGATGTTTGGTTTTCCATTCCTGAGTTACTTCACTTAGAACAATAGTCTCCAATCTCATCTGGGTTGCTGCAAATGCCACTAAGTCATTCCTTTTTATGACTGAGTAGCATTCCATTGTGTATATATATATACACAATTGTATATATATACACACACAATTGTATATATATACACACTATATATACATACACAATTATGTGTATATATATACAATTATATATACATATACAATTGTGTATATATATATACACACTATATATACATACATATATATATATATATATGTGTATATATATATATACCACAGTTTCTATATCCACTCATTGATTGATGGGCATTTGGGCTCGTTCCACGTTTTTGCAATTGTGAATTATGCTGCTATAAACATGCATGTGCAAGTATCTTTTTCATATAATGACATCTTTTCCTCTGGGTAGATACCCAGTAGTGGGATTGCTGGATCAATTGGTAGTTCTACTTTTAGTTCTTTAAGGAATCCCCATGCTGTTTTCCATAGTGGTTTTACTAGTTTACGTTCCCACCAGCAGTGTAGAAGTGCTTCCCTTTCACCACATCCATGTCAACATCTACTATTTTTTGATTTTTTTATTATGGCCCTTCTTGCAGGAGTAAAGTGGTATTGCACTGTGGTTTTGATTTACATTTCCCTGATCATTAGTGATGCTGAACATTTTTCCATGTGCTTGTTAGCCATTTGTGTATCTTCTTTTGAGAATTGTCTACTCATGCCCTAAGCCCACTTTTTGATGGCATTGTTTGCTTTCTTATTGCTAATTTGTTCATATATGTGTGTGTGTGTGTATGTATTAACTCATTTAATTCTCATAAGTACCCAAATAAGGTAAATGTGTCTAAAGTCACCTTTTTTTTTTAACAGATAAGGAAACTGAGACAGAAGGAGAGTAAGAAATTTACTCAAGGTGACACAGCTAAATCTGCTGCCAGAACCTGTCTGTGTTCTTAACCAATACAGCATATTGCCTTCCACAGAGGAAATGCTTTTGTTTGTTTGTTTGTTTTTCTTGGAAATTTAATCACCAAGATTTAACGACTGATATAAGGTCTTAACTAGAACATGCTAAATTTGGAGTTAAACAATAAATGGAGTTCTCAACCCTCACTATGTGGTGAAATTACTTTTCTAATATGTCTTGTTCCGATCCTATCATTTAAAAAATATGTGAGATACATCAATACCTATTTTTCAGGTAGCCTCTGGAAATTTCAAAACCACCGAATTTATTTTGTTTTCCATAATGAATCCAGCTTTAGCTTTTCATTTCATTGCTAAAACTACAACCATAATCCTAGGAACTTTAGAAGCATATATCGCCAGATAAGGTTCTTCTGCCTATTAAAATTCAGAGAAAAGTATCCCAAACTTGCCTCAGCACTAACCAAGAAAATGGTATCTTGTCACCACGAGATGAATGCCACATCCCCTTGTTTTTATTGTACAACTGCTCCTTGCCTCTGAAGGAAAGTGTGCACCTGATATTTACTTATTGAGCCCAGCACACATGTGCTGCAGTAATGACCTCATGTGTACAATTCTATGTTCAGTAACATGTGTTAGCTTGAAATGTTAGCCCCTCTTAATTTTACCTCCTCTTAATCAACAACATGTACAAAAAGTTTAAATATATATGTATATGTATACACATATATGTATATATAAATGTACGTATGTGTATATATGTACATATACACACATGTGTGTGTATATATATGTGTGTATATATATGTGTGTGTATCAGGAGTTTTGCAAGGTCTGCAGAAAACATATCTTGCAGATGGCACAAGTGAGTGTGTTGATGGACTCTGAGTTGTTTCACAACCTTTCCTGCTTGAAGTTCCTAAGGAGATCCCAAAGAATCAAATCTGTCAGGTTTTGAAGGTAGGACCACCCCTCCCTTCCTCTGGATATTTAGAAAACCTATTTAAGTCCCATTGTAATATTTTGGCAATTATTAACCACAGGTTATTAAACTGTGCAAAAGATAAATATATGTAACACTTTAGTGCTGATTAGATTAAAATGTGCTTTGTTGGTTTGGCAGCATTAGGAAGTATTACTTATAATTTGGCATGCTCATAAAATTAATTTGGCTTATTTACAGTCATGAAAACCCAGAAAATAGAGAAATTATGAAAAAATGTATTATCTGATAATAAAAATTCATCATAATTAAGTTCTTTTTTCTTTATCTGTCTACACCTCACTCCCTGGTCCATACCATTTCTGAAGAACATCAATATAGAAATACTTTAAATTCTAAATTTTGGCTTATTTAAACCCAATGTGTTTTCTACCTGTTCTATTTGATTACTTATAAATATGTGACAGATTTGAAATTATAAATATGTGACATAAAGATGCATACCTCAGGAGAGGAGCCAAGATGGCCGAATAGGAACAGCTCCGCTCTACAGCTCCCAGCGTGAGCGACGCAGAAGACGGGTGATTTCTGCATTTCCATCTGAGGTACCGGGTTCATCTCACTAGAGAGTGCCAGACAGTGGGCGCAGGTCAGTGGGTGCGTGCACCGTGCGCGAGCGAAGCAGGGCGAGGCATTGCCTCACTCGGGAAGCGCAAGGGGTCAGGGAGTTCCCTTTCCTAGTCAAAGAAAGGGGTGACAGACGGCACCTGGAAAATCGGGTCACTCCCACCCGAATACTGCGCTTTTCCGACGGGCTTAAAACACGGCGAACCACGAGATTATATCCCGCACCTGGCTCGGAGGGTCCTATGCCCACAGAGTCTCGCTGATTCCTAGCACAGCAGTCAAGGCGGCAGCGAGACTGGGGGAGGGGCGCCCGCCATTGCCCAGGCTTGCTTAGGTAAACAAAGCGGCCGGGAAGCTCGAACTGGGTGGAGCCCACCACAGCTCAAGGAGGCCTGCCTGCCTCTGTAGGCTCCACCTCTGGGGGCAGGGCACAGACAAACAAAAAGACAGCAGTAACCTCTGCAGACTTAAAGGTCCCTGTCTGACAGCTTTGAAGAGAGCAGTGGTTCTCCCAGCACGCAGCTGGAGATCTGAGAACGGGCAGACTGCCTCCTCAAGTGGGTCCCTGACCCCCGAGCAACCTAACTGGGAGGCACCCCCCAGCAGGGGCACACTGACACCTCACATGGCAGGGTGTTCCAACAGACCTGCAGCTGAGGGTCCTGTCTGTTAGAAGGAAAACTAACAAACAGAAAGGACATCCACACCAAAAACACATCTGTACATCACCATCATCAAAGACCAAAAGTAGATAAAACCACAAAGATGGGGAAAAAACAGAACAGAAAAGCTGGAAACTCTAAAAAGCAGAGCGCCTCCCCTCCTCCAAAGGAACGCAGTTCCTCACCAGCAACGGAACAAAGCTGGATGGAGAATGACTTTGACGAGTTGAGAGAAGAAGGCTTCAGACGATCAAATAACTCTGAGCTACGGGAGGACATACAAACCAAAGGCAAAGAAGTTGAAAACTTTGAAAAAAATTTAGAAGAATGTATAACTAGAATAACCAATACAGAGAAGAGCTTAAAGGAGCTGATGGAGCTGAAAACCAAGGCTGGAGAACTACTTGAAGAATGCAGCAGCCTCAGGAGCCGATGCGATCAACTGGAAGAAAGGGTATCAGCAATGGAAAATGAAATGAATGAAATGAAGCAAGAAGGGAAGTTTAGAGAAAAAAGAATAAAAAGAAATGAGCAAAGCCTCCAAGAAATATGGGACTATGTGAAAAGACCAGATCTACGTCTGATTGGTGTACCTGAAAGTGATGGGGAGAATGGAACCAAGTTGGAAAACACGCTGCAGGATATTATCCAGGAGAACGTCCCCAATCTAGCAAGGCAGGCCAACATTCAGATTCAGGAAATACAGAGAACTCCACAAAGATACTCCTCGAGAAGAGCAACTCCCAGACACATAATTGTCAGATTCACCAAAGTTGAAATGAAGGAAAAAATGTTAAGGGCAGCCAGAGAGAAAGGTTGGGTTACCCTCAAAGGGAAGCCCGTCAGACTAACAGCTGATCTCTCGGCAGAAACCCTACAAGCCAGAAGAGAGTGGGGACCAATATTCAACATTCTTAAAGAAAAGAATTTTCAACCCAGAATTTCATATCCAGCCAAACTAAGCTTCATAAGTGAAGGAGAAATAAAATACTTTACAGACAAGCAAATGCTGAGAGATTTTGTCACCACCAGGCCTGCCCTAAAAAAGCTCCTGAAGGAAGCACTAAACATGGAAAGGAAAAACTGGTACCAGCCGCTGCAAAATCATGCCAAAATGTAAAGACCGTCGAGACTAGGAAGAAACTGCATCAACTAACGAGCAAAATAACCAGCCAACATCATAATGACAGGATCAAATTCATACATAACAATATTAACTTTAAACGTAAATGGACTAAATGCTCCAATTAAAAGACACAGACTGGCAAATTGGATAAAGAGTCAAGACCCATCAGTGTGCTGTATTCAGGAAACCCATCTCACGTGCAGAGACACACATAGGCTCAAAATAAAAGGATGGAGGAAGATCTACCAAGCAAATGGAAAACAAAAGAAGGCAGGGGTTGCAATCCTAGTCTCTGATAAAACAGACTTTAAACCAACAAAGATCAAAAGAGACAAAGAAGGCCATTACATAATGGTAAAGGGATCAATTCAACAAGAAGAGCTAACTATCCTAAATATATATGCACCCAATACAGGAGCACCAATATTCATAAAGCAAGTCCTGAGTGACCTACAAAGAGACTTAGACTCCTACACATTAATAATGGGAGACTTTAACACCCCACTGTCAACATTAGACAGATCAACGAGAAAGAAAGTCAACAAGGATACCCAGGAATTGAACTCAGCTCTGCACCAAGCAGACCTAATAGACATCTACAGAACTCTCCACCCCAAGTCAACAGAATATACATTTTTTTCAGCACCACACCACACCTATTCCAAAATTGACCACATACTTGGAAGTAAAGCTCTCCTCAGCAAATGTAAAAGACCAGAAATTATAACAAACTATCTCTCAGACCACAGTGCAATCAAACTAGAACTCAGGATTAAGAATCTCACTCAAAACCGCTCAACTACATGGAAACTGAACAACCTGCTCCTGAATGACTACTGGGTACATAACGAAATGAAGGCAGAAATAAAGATGTTCTTTGAAACCAACGAGAACAAAGACACAACATACCAGAATCTCTGGGACGCATTCAAAGCAGTGTGTAGAGGGAAATTTATAGCACTAAATGCCCACAAGAGAAAGCAGGAAAGATCCAAAATTGACACCCTAACATCACAATTAAAAGAACTAGAAAAGCAAGAGCAAACACATTCAAAAGCTAGCAGAAGGCAAGAAATAACTAAAATCAGAGCAGAACTGAAGGAAATAGGGACACAAAAAACCCTTCAAAAAATTAATGAATCCAGGAGCTGGTTTTTTGAAAGGATCAACAAAATTGATAGACCGCTAGCAACACTAATAAAGAAAAAAAGAGAGAGGAATCAAATAGATGCAATAAAAAATGATAAAGGGGATATCACCACCGATCCCACAGAAATACAAACTACCATCAGAGAATACTACAAACACCTCTATGCAAATAAACTAGAAAATCTAGAAGAAATGGATAAATTCCTCGACACATACACTCTCCCAAGACTAAACCAGGAAGAAGTTGAATCTCTGAATAGACCAATAACAGGATCTGAAATTGTGGCAATAATCAATAGCTTACCAACCAAAAAGAGTCCAGGACCAGATGGATTCACAGCCGAATTCTACCAGAGGTACAAGCAGGAACTGGTACCATTCCTTCTGAAACTATTCCAATCAACAGAAAAAGAGGGAATCCTCCCTAACTCATTTTATGAGGCCAGCATCATTCTGATACCAAAGCCAGGCAGAGACACACCAAAAAAAGAGAATTTTAGACCAATATCCTTGATGAACATTGATGCAAAAATCCTCAATAAAATACTGGCAAAACGAATCCAGCAGCACATCAAAAAGCTTATCCACCATGATCAAGTGGGCTTCATCCCTGGGATGCAAGGCTGGTTCAATATACGCAAATCAATAAATGTAATCCAGCATATAAACAGAGCCAAAGACAAAAACCACATGATTATCTCAATAGATGCAGGAAAAGCCTTTGACAAAATTCAACAACCCTTCATGCTAAAAACTCTCAATAAATTAGGTATTGATGGGACGTATTTCAAAATAATAAGAGCTATTTATGACAAACCCACAGCCAATATCATACTGAATGGGCAAAAACTGGAAGCATTCCCTTTGAAAACTGGCACAAGACAGGGATGCCCTCTCTCACCACTCCTATTCAACATAGTGTTGGAAGTTCTGGCCAGGGCAATTAGGCAGGAGAAGGAAATAAAGGGTATTCAATTAGGAAAAGAGGAAGTCAAATTGTCCCTGTTTGCAGATGACATGATTGTATATCTAGAAAACCCCATTGTCTCAGCCCAAAATCTCCTTAAGCTGATAAGCAACTTCAGCAAAGTCTCAGGATACAAAATCAATGTACAAAAATCACAAGCATTCTTATACACCAACAACAGACAAACAGAGAGCCAAATCATGAGTGAACTCCCATTCACAATTGCTGCAAAGAGAATAAAATACCTAGGAATCCAACTTACAAGGGATCTGAAGGACCTCTTCAAGTAGGACTACAAACCACTGCTCCAGGAAATAAAAGAGGATACAAACAAATGGAAGAACATTCCATGCTCATGGGTAGGAAGAATCAATATCGTGAAAATGGCCATACTGCCCAAGGTAATTTACAGATTCAATGCCATCCCCATCAAGCTACCAATGCCTTTCTTCACAGAATTGGAAAAAACTACTTTAAAGTTCATATGGAACCAAAAAAGAGCCCGCATCGCCAAGTCAATCCTAAGCCAAAAGAACAAAGCTGGAGGCATCACGCTACCTGACTTCAAACTATACTACAAGGCTACAGTAACCAAAACAGCATGGTACTGGTACCAAAACAGAGATATAGATCAATGGAACAGAACAGAGCCCTCAGAAATAACGCTGCATATCTACAACTATCTGATCTTTGACAAACCTGAGAAAAACAAGCAATGGGGAAAGGATTCCCTATTTAATGAATGGTGCTGGGAAAACTGGCTAGCCATATGTAGAAAGCTGAAACTGGATCCCTTCCTTACACCTTACACAAAAATCAATTCAAGATGGATTAAAGACTTAAACGTTAGACCTAACACCATAAAAACCCTAGAAGAAAACCTAGGCATTACCATTCAGGACATAGGCATGGGCAAGGACTTCATGTCTAAAACACCAAAAGCAATGGCAACAAAAGACAAAATTGACAAATGGGATCTAATTCAACTAAAGAGCTTCTGCACAGCAAAAGAAACTACCATCAGAGTGAACAGGCAACCTACAGAATGGGAGAAAATTTTCGCAACCTACTCATCTGACAAAGGGCTAATATCCAGAATCTACAATGAACTCAAACAAATTTACAAGACAAAAACAAACAACCCCATCAAAAAGTGGGCAAAGGACATGAACAGACACTTCTCAAAAGAAGACATTTATGCAGCCAAAAAACACATGAAAAAATGCTCACCATCACTGGCCATCAGAGAAATGCAAATCAAAACCACAATGAGATACCATCTCACACCAGTTAGAATGGCAATCATTAAAAAGTCAGGAAACAACAGGTGCTGGAGAGGATGTGGAGAAATAGGAACACTTTTACACTGTTGGTGGGACTGTAAACTAGTTCAACCATTGTGGAAGTCAGTGTGGCGATTCCTCAGGGATCTAGAACTGGAAATACCATTTGACCCAGCCATCCCATTACTGGGTATATACCCAAAGGACTATAAATCATGCTGCTATAAAGACACATGCACACGTATGTTTACTGCGGCATTATTCACAATAGCAAAGACTTGGAACCAGCCCAAATGTCCACCAATGATAGACTGGATTAAGAAAATGTGTCACATGTACACCATGGAATACTATGCAGCCATAAAAAATGATGAGTTCATGTCCTTTGTAGTGACATGGATGAAATTGGAAATCATCATTCTCAGTAAACTATCGCAAGAACAAAAAACCAAACACCGCATATTCTCACTCATAGGTGGGAATTGAACAATGAGATCACATGGACACAGGAAGGGGAATATCACACTCTGGGGACTGTTGTGGGGTGGGGGGAGGGGGGAGGGATAGCATTGGGAGATATACCTAATGCTAGATGACGAATTAGTGGGTGCAGCGCACCAGCATGGCACATGTATACATATGTAACTAACCTGCACAATGTGCACATGTACCCTAAAACTTACAGTATAATAATAAAAAATAAAAAATAAAAATAAAAAAAGATACATACCTCATTTTTATGTATTTGTGAGAACTCTTGCTTATGAATATTGCAATAGCTACAGTTTGTAACATACATAAAAGGAGGAATTTACTGTGTGATATTCCAAATCACCAAAGTAGGACCAGAACTAGGACTAGTACTCATTAGACTTGCAATTGGTTCTTTAAAAAATGGAGACATAAGTAGCTAGGTTATATATTAATGCACTAATATTACTAGTTAATACTTTCATTCATTTTGACATTTCAAAGTATTCTAAACCAAAAACGTCCCCTTTTTTGGTAAATGTATGAACTCTTGGACGTTGATTGCCATCAAACAGAAGAATCTCAGGTGAAATGGCATGCTGGATCTTCTTTAACATGTTCAAGTGAAGAGGGAAAATAAGACCACAGCAGGTCCAACACGGCTGAGGGAGGACGGATCCAATGGTAGTTTGTTTGTTATACCAGGAGGCAGTCCAATGTCCTAAGTTTAAAGGAACTCTTGTATGCAGGTTTGGTGCAGGAAGGGGTCATGATCAGTATAAGAACCCAGCCAAGAGGGCAGGTATTCAAGACAAACCTAGTTCCAGTGAGGAATTCAAAACCAAGACATGAACTCAGGCAGAGAGACTGGACCAACATGATGGAAGTGAGAAAGGTATGATTTGGTAAGCACATGAGGGAACAAGAAACACCACCAAGCACACTAGGTGTTCATGGTCAACAGAAATGAAGCTAATTCCAGGATTCAGTAACCAATGGGATTTTTGACTCTGCTCAGATTGAAGAGGCTCAGAAACTGGACTGGACTTAGCCTTCAAACTCTCATAGGTAGCTGCAAAAATAAATATTTCATTCCAAAAGATGATATCATCAGGACATGAGATACACACATTCCCAAACAGCCATCACACATGTGTGAATGTGCACACACATATTGGTACATATGTTATTTGAAAACTTCCAAAATCACTTTACGTTTTCATTCCCACTATTCAAACTGATTCTATGAATCACAGACACTCAGAACATCTTTTCTCAGATAGGTACAACTCCATTCTTGTCCCTATCTATCTCAACCACTCTGTTTGTATTGCAATTTCTCCCTTGTCCTCCTAATGGCCCTCAAGAACCCTAAATTTGGGCCTGCTTTTTTTATTAGCAGCCAGAAATGACCCTGTTAAGGATGGGTGACCAAAACCCAACGGGCCAATATAGGGAGAAAGCTGGCACATATTTCCTTTGCTGTTTTTGGCTCTCGGGTTGGTAGATTGCCCTTGTTTTAGAAGAGCGTGAACTTCTGCCAATAGCCTTAGACTATCCCTCCTGGTTGACAAATATAAGGCAGGCACTTAGCAGGATTTTGATCATACTTAACTTCTCAGCCATGTATCCCTTTGGCCTACACTTAATCTCAAAAAGCCCACACTTCAAAAAACTACTCTTTTTAAAATCCAAATTTATGTTAAGAAGTTGCATGGGGCAATGAGGACACTAAATTGATACAGGGAGACATGGTGACTTCCAATTTGAGCCTTTGACTTCCAATTCTAACCTGCTGTTGAGGGTGAATCTTCATGCTTTCCATCTGTGCAAATGAGTCAACAAGATGCTCAGGCCTTGGCCTGTGTTTTCACAATCAAAAGCCAATAGGGGCTGCACATACCAATGTAGTCTCCCTTACTTATGATACTTAATTTTCTTAACACACAACAGGGAAAGAAAAGGAGGTTAAAGCTTCAGGCACAATAAAAAAATACTCAGTACAAAAATTCTTCTCTTTCACTCAAACTGACTGTGTTATGTATCAGAACCAAACCTTTTATCTAAAGAAAAAACGGATTGCTTTTAATTTCCAACTGCCTTAATGTGATTTTACAAGAATTTCATGTTGGGAATAAAAGTTGGTAGAGACAAAGGTATTTTTTTCAAGCAACATACTCACAGGCCTTGAGATTCTCATCCAGGGCAGATTAATTGATTTATAGGCAGCATGATGCTGGTAATACTATCAGGAAATACAAAGAGAAGAACTAGCATTATGTCATGGGCTCAGGCAATTTGCATTGGTTAAAAAAAATCATCCCCAGAACTGTCTGTCATCCAAAGCAGTTTTTAAATCATAAAACCAAGCCACAGAAACAAAGGTCATCCAACATAAAATTATGAGCTTAACTAGGGGGAAAAAGGCCTTTCTGTGTCAAGAACAGGAAGCAATTTTGTGTTTCTCTACAAAAATTTACAGTCAGTGGCTGAAGGCAGAAAAAGCAATAAATTATAACAATTAAATACAAAGTAACTTAGCACCTCCCATTCAGGGTCACAGAGCTTGATACAAAAGTCACGGCATAATATGAATAGCAAGTAATTTGTAGAATAAACTATATGGATGTGTGTGTGTGTGTGTGTGTGTGTGTGTGTGTATACTTTTAATTCTTCATATTTATTTCTTGTGTACCGTTCCTGTTTATGTCACTCATGAGGAAAAGGATCCATTGCTCCCCATCTGCTATTGGCCAGTAAAGGCGAGTTGGCCTATAAATAAGGCCACACTATTCAGAAATATTAAAGATTAGACTGACTTTACATACCCACCATTTTGGTATCACTGCTGATGACACTGCTACTATTACTAAATCCTAGTTTGTTGATCTCCTACTATGTTATGGGTACTGTTTGAAGTGCTTTTTATATGATGTTTCAAACCATCTTCACAAGAGTTTGTAAAGTAGGTATCCATACATTTTTTAAATATTAGACAAATGCACACAATTGCGCACACACGCACACACACAAAAATACATACATAAAGAACAGGTGTCACTGGCTACAATTTGAACTGAGGTCTGCTTGAGCCTATGTTCTTATTCTCAACATCCTGTTCATCTTCTTGAACACTGTAGCAGCGAGTCTTTTTCCTGGGTCCTAACTGATAGTTCAGAACCACTGAGTTTATAACTCCCAGGTGGAATTATTTCTCCCTACCGTTGGGAGGGAAAATTCCCTTCTGACTAGTGCTGGTCTAAGTGCTCCCTTTGTGGGCACTGGGAAGATAGAGATCATATCAGGTATCTTTCTGCCAAATGCTGCTATGACAGGGCAGCACTGAGTTCCAGTGCAAAGTCCCACAATCACTTTGCTCTCCCTCCCAGAAGGACACAGATTCTCTGCAGCACACTGCCCTGCCTGAGGATAGGGAGGGGTGTTGTTAGCGGCTGAAGACTGTCTTTCCTACACTCTTCCGTGCCTCTTTCAGTGATACAAAGTTAAAATCAGGTATCACTCACCTGATTTTTGGTTCTTATAAAGGTGGTTTCTTGTGTAGATAATTGTTCAATGTTCTGTTTCTGGAATGGGGAGGATGATCATTGGAGGGTTCTATTCAGCCATCTCGCTCTGCATTCTCTCCACTTTCTTCTTTTTTGATGTAGGCATTTATTGCTATAAACTTCCCTCTTAAAACAGTTTTTGCTGTATCCCATAGATTTTGGTATGTTGTATTTTCATTTTTATTTGTCTTAAGAAATCTTCTAATTTCCTTTTAAATTTATCCATTGACCCATTGGTTATTAAGGAACATATCGTTTAATTTCCATGTATCTTTTAAGTTTCCTATGTTCCTCCTGTTCTTGATTTCTAGTTATATACTGTTGTGGTCAAAAAAGATAATTGATATGACTTCTATCTTCTTAAACTTGTTTAAACTGGTTTAGTGTCTTAACATATAATCTATCCTGGAGAATGTCCCATGTGCAGTTGAGAGGAATGTGTATTCTTCTGCTGTTGGGTAGAAAGCTCTTTAAGTGTTTGTTTGGTTCTTTTGGTCTACAGTGCAGTTTCAATCCAGTGTTTATTCATTGATTTTCTGTCTGGACGATTTGTCCATTCCTGAAAGTGGGGTGTTGAAATCCACTGCCATTATTGTTTTGCAGTCTATCTTTCCCCTTAGATCTAAAATTTGCTTTATATATTTATGTGCTCTGGTGTTGGGTGCATATTCATGTACCACTGTTATATCACCTTACTGAATAGATTGCTTTATCATTATATAATAACCTTTGTCTGTTTTTATAGCTTTTACCGAAGTACATTTTATGTGATATAAGTATAGCTATTCCTATTAACTTTTTGTTTCTGTTTGCATGTAATATTTTTCTCCACCCCTTCATTTTCAGCATGTATATCCTTACAGGAGAAGTAGGTCTCTTGCAGGCTGCATATAGTTGGGTCTTATTTTTTTAAATTTGTTCACGCTATACCTTTTAATTCAAGAATTAAATTAAATTTAATTTATTTACACTCAAGGTTATTATTGATAGATAAGGACTTACTCCTGCCATTATGTTCATTGTTTTCTGGTTGTTTTGTAGAACCTTTGGTCCTTTTTACCTCTCTTGTTGTTCACCTTTGTAGCATGGCAGTTTTCTGTGATGCCAAGTTTTGATTCTTTTCTCTTTCTTATTTGTGTATCTGCTGCAATTTCTTCCTTTGTGATTACTCTGGGGATAACATAAAGAACATTGTATTTATAAGCTGATAACAAGTTAACTTTAGTTGCATAAAAGCTGTAAATTTTTACTCTCTTCACCAATTTATATTTTTGTTGCCTTAATTTAGACCTTTAAATATTATGTGTTCCTTAAAAACTAATTTTAGCTATAGTTATTTTTAACCATTTTTACTTTTAACCTTCATCTAGAGGTGTGAAATATTTACATAGCACCATTACAGTGCTGGAATATTCTGAGTCTAAATATGAATTTACCTCTACTAGTGAGTTTTATACTTTCATGTGTTTTCATGATAGTAATGATAACCCTTTCACTTCCAGTTGTAGAACTCCCTTAAGCATTTCTTCTGAGGCCAATCTAGTAGTGACAAAATCTCTCACCTTTTGCTTGTCTGAGGAGTTTCTTTTTCATTTCTGAAGGGTAGCTTTGCTGGGTATAGAATTCTTTTTTTTTTTCTTTTTGAGACAAGGTTTCATTCTGTCACTGAGGCTGGAGTACAGTGGTACAATCATGGCTCACCACAGCCTCAACCTCACAGGCTCAAGCAATCCTCCCACCTCAGTCTTCTGAGTATCTGGAACCACAGCAACATGCCACCATGCCTGGCTAATTTTTTATTTTTTATTTTTTGTAAGGACAGGGTCACATTATGTTTCCCAGGCTGGTCTTGAACTCCTGGGCTCAAGTATTCCTCCCACCTTGGCCTCCTAAACTGCTGGGATTACAGGCATGAGCCACTGTGCCTGGTCATATATGGTTTTTTGGCTAGCAGGCTTTTTTCTTTCAGTACTTTGATTATATCATCCCATTTTTTCCTGGCCTATAATGTTTCTGCTAAGAAGTATGCAGAGGATCTAATGGCGATTACCTTATATGTGACTTGATGCTTTTCTCTTGCTGCTTTTAGAATTCTCTCTTTGTCTTTGACTTTTTACAGTTTGATTTTATGTGCCTTGGAGAGGACCTTTTTGGGTTAATCTATTTGGGGACCTTTGAGCTTCCTGGATCTGGATGACCATGTCTCTCCCAAGTCTTGTGAAGTTTTCAAATTATTTATATTAAATGTTTTCTGTACCTTTCTCTATCTCTTCTTTGTAACTCCAATAATGCAAATTTTTATTTGTTCACTCAATTGTGTCCTATAAGTCCCATAGGCTTTCTTCATTCTTTTTTCTTATTTCTATTATTTCCTCTGACTGTGTTATTTCAAAAGATTTGCCTTCAAATTTAGAATTTCTTTCTTCCACTTTATCTAGTCTGTTGCTGAGGCTCAATAGTATTCTTTAATAGACTGTATTCTTCATCTCCAATATTTCTATTTTATTCTTTTTTATTATATCTATCTCTGTTGAATTTCTCATTCAAATCATGAATTGTTTTCCTGATTTTATTGAATTGTTTATCTATATTCTCTTGTGTCTCATTGAATTTCCTAAAGATCATTATTTTAAATTGCCTTTCAGGCATTTTATAAGCTTTATTTTATTTTTGTCCTGTTAACTGGAGAATTTTTGTGCTCCTTTTGAGGTGTCATGTTTCCTGTTTTTTACATTTCTTGTGTCCCTACATTGATATCTGCACATCTGGTGGAAGAGTTGCCTCTTCCAATTTTATGGAATACCTTTCATAAGGAAAGTTTTTTCCTATAGATAGTTCCTAGTGTATTGGTTGGATATTGTATCTTGGCTATGGCTCTGGGAAGATACAATAGTATAGTCTATAGGTTCTTCATCTGTAATCCATGTCAGTGATGCCTGTGAGTGCTTCAGTGTCCTAGGCTGTGGGAGTTTGTTGTGGCAGTGCTGTGGCTTTGCAGGGGTGGGCTGGTCTGCTAGTTCTCAGGCCAAGGGTACACATGTGCAGCTGGCTGGCTAGTTTGGAGGCTGGCTCACCAGATATGGGGCCACTGAGATGGTTCTTAGGCCAGGGGTATGCATGCATGGTAGGTCCCTTAGGCAAGGTTGGCTTCCTCACTGTGCAGAACTCCCTGTTTCTTGAGAGGTAGGGTACCACATGGGTTCAGGCTCAAGGGTCAGGGCTGTTTCTTTGGGTCTAGGCTACAAGTAGCTGGAGTAGCAGAACTGCAGCCACCTGTGTGAGCATGGTAGAATGGTGGCAGAGCCTCAGGGATGAAGGCATGCAGTGGTTACTGACCCTTAGGTGAGGACACACTCTAGCAGTGGGTCCAGTTTCAAGATGTTGCTGTTCCACAGCAGCTTGGGTCATGGGAAATGGGTGATTCACAACCTGGGATCCTACTCTGGAGCAATGCCACTGTATAAAATCTAAGATTCTCAAACTGGGTTCAGGGCTTGTAAGGACTGTAAGATTCTCCTGTAGCAAGGGATGAAGTTATATGCAGTGGTAGTGGGGACTACTGCTTACCTTTTTCCCACAAGAAGTTCCTCCTGGCTTTGAGCTGATTCCAGTGGAGGATACAGGGTGGCAGACACAGGATATTTTGCTCGCCTCTCTATGGTACCATTGTGGGTTTCTGTATTCCACAGGGATTCAGCCATGCCCTTTCTGTACTCTGGCACACTTCTTCAGACACTGTAGTCCAAATGTAGTTGTTTGGGGTCTTCTCATGGGGGTGGGGACAGCACCAGGCACTTCTATTCAGCTATCTTGCTGATATCATTCCCTTGCCACTTTTCACCAAAGTTCTCTTTTTCTTTTCTTTTCTCCTTCCTTCCGCCCCTTCCCTTCCCGTCTCCTCCCCTCCCCTCCCCTCCCTTCCCTCCCCTTCCCTTCAATTCCCTTTTGTTTCTTTCTTGCTTGCTTGCTTGCTTTCTTCTTTCTCTCTCTCTCTTTTTTTCCTTCTTTCTTTCCTTGTTCCTTCCTTCCTTCCTTCCTTCCTTCCTTCCTTCCTTCCTTTCTTTCTTCAGGATCTCACTCTATTACCCATGCTGCAGTACAGTGGCATGGTCCCAGGGTCACAGTTCACCACAGTTTTGAACTATTATAATCCCAAGTAGCTGGGATTACAAGTGAAAGCCACCACACCTGGCTCCTAATGTACTCTTAAGGAACTGCAACCTCAGCTGGAAGTCATAGACTTAGCAAGATCAAAAAGATCTTGATCATTTTGCTGAGGAATCAAGATCTAGCTATTATTTGTAGACTCTGTTTAGGAACTATCTCAGTATGACAATGGATGTATCCACAAAAATAATATTTCATGGTATTCTTTAGTCCCCAGAAGTCCTCCAAAATAGTATTACATCTAGAAGCACAGCTCTATTCCCACCACTAGTGGGTAGTTACCCCTTGTTATTTCTGGCTGCTAATGCGTCTATTTTACTAAACTGTATACTTACCACATTCAGAACTCAAACCATTTAACTTGTTTTCATTCAGTTCCATAATGAGAAAGCCACAACAATCTCACTTGTCAATAGTCTACTGAATAAAACAAATGGCTTCATACTGATGCCTTTTATTATAAGAGAAAGTCCCAATATATGCTGAAAACAACTTTAGAATACTTTCAACAATCAGGCCTTCACTGTCAACTTGTATTACAAAAGGGAGATTCAGGCTTTCAATTACAGCCAGTGCTCCAGGCTCCCACACCATCAAACAAGTGTTTAGTCTTAATAGCTATCCTGTCAGAATGAATCTCTACCAACTTCATTCAACTCCCCCCAGCTGTTTCTCACCTACCCCAAGTTTGAAGTCAATTTAGGGATGCTTCTCAGCACTTTTCAACTCTGAACAAAACTGTCACAACCAAGTAACTGTCACATCTACAAAGCCTTGCACATGCATGTTTGTGGAGAATGAGGGTAATGATTATCTTTGTGTTCTTATTTAAATCATATAGAGTATTGTAAATAGAAAGGGTTGGGTGTTGCTTTGGTTTTTCTTTTTTGTTTTGTTTCTGTTTTTTGTTTGTTGTTGTTGTTGTTGTTGTTGTTGTTTTCACTGTCAGAACCAGAGAAGGAGACAGTAATACGCTTCCAGGCTCTCTCCAAGGTTGATCTCTACATTCACCACTCACTAGAGACATTTTTCCTTCAAACAAAAGGGATTTCCTCCCAAAGAATACATAAAAATGGAGCAGCAAACAAAAGGAGATCTTAAGTCAGTCTTCTACCCCAGTACTTTTCAAAGTTTAACGTCAGAACAAATCATCTGTCGAGGTTGTTAAAATGCAATGCAGTTTCAGTGCGCCTGGGATGGAGTCTGAGATTCTGCATTTCCAGCAAGCTTCCAGGCAAACCTCATGCGCCTGGTCTGCAGATCATGTATTGAGTAGCAAGGTGCTTACCCTATCCCCCAAATACTCTACTCTTTCCTGGAAAGGAGTCCATATTTGTCACCACATATGCATGTGGCTTTTGTCACCTCACTTACTCCTTTTCCCCCTTACATTTCTCTTCTTTTGCTAAACATTGACAGATTACGTTGTGTGCTTTCCCATATATCTATTTATCTATTGTTGCTGATTATTATCTGTGCTTTTAAAAATAACATTAATTTTATTGAAAGATAGGAAATTCCTGCACTCCAAATAAGTTGTTTAGTTGTTTTTACCCTTTGAGTCTGAAAAATATCTTCTAGTCCCAAAATACATCTGCCCATCCAGAGCTGGGGAAATCCAAAACTCTGCCCAAGAGAACAACATTCTTAGTCTCCTAGGCAATTAAAAGAACTATAGCAAGAGCTTTCCTGTCTTGTCTCTAGGAACACATAATTCCTACATGAGAAGGCTAAAATTTTTCTCATCTTGACTAGCCTCCCAGCTAGTGCACAGTGAACAGATTTTCCAGAACAGTTCCAAGTTGTTTGCCTCCTTAATCCACCAAAAATGTCCTCTTAAATTCCACTGTTTTTTTACGCAAAGGCACTGCTTCTCACATCTAGATGCATCAGAAATACCTTTGTCACGTGCTCTGAGGCTTGTTTCAGAACATTCTTAGATTTAAGAGGGAGCAAAATTTTCAGCTAGGGCACCCTTACAATTAACCCCTTCTCTACTGTTTCATTCTCTGAAAAATCCAGGGTCAATTGAGGGAGGCATGAAGGAAGTTCCCGCCCTAACTTCTTAGATTCACACTTAGGGGAATCTGTTTCAAACAACACGTTGAATTAAACTTCTCCCACTTACTTCAAGAGAGGGCTTCCAAAGGCTTTTCAAAGAATACTTTCTTTCCCAGCTCCTTTAACTCATCATAAAAGTGTCTACAAGTCAGTATAATAATGGGGTTATACCCATACTATTAAAAGAAAAAGCTGCTAACCTATCTTGACAACCAGATCCCACAGACTTTTAGATCAGTGAAGACCTAGGATACTGTTCTGGTGATGCCACTGACCAGCAGCATTAACTTTGGAAAAGGACCTACCTCAATGAGGCCACGCTGAACTCATTAAGTGTTGTGAGAATTAGATGCAAGTGAGGGATTTACTAAAGCTAGAACCTGGCAGAGGGTAAGTGGTCAATAAAGTTAGCTATTATTTTTTCTGTGTCTCTGTTTCTGTATCTGAAAACAAGGATGGTAGGTGGTTCTGCTAAATAGGGTAAGAGAGGTAGTCCCTACCTCATAAAGTTATGGAGATTAAATGCCTTGATTTATGTATGTTTATGTAATGCACTTACAACATTGCCTGGCACATAGTGCTATATAAGTGTTAACCCTTTATTAGTCCATTTTAATATTGTTAATAATGATGATAATAATCACAGAGTCCCTTGTGAGCACAGGATTGTAATACCTGACTGCATTAAGCTCCAAATGCCCATGGAGGAGCCTCTTGAGTATTTGAACCCAGTAGAACAAGCTGATTGTTAGCGGGTAAGCATATGCCCTAGTGTAGTGGCTCTCAACGCTTATACTTCAGAATCTTACTGTAAGGTTTTGAAAAACACACCTCTCAAAGCCCCAACGCAGACCTACTGAATCAAAATCTTCAGGGTGGAGTAAAAGCATCCTTATTTGTAATAAGAGCCACAAATGATTCTGACGCACATCACATTTTGAGGAGCACTGACTTAGACTCTGTCTCATGGGCCTTTCGAAAATATGAGACCATTTATTCTTCCATTATAAAAGTCATCTAAAGGAATACTCACTCAATGGGCAAAATAGTTCTTCGGAATGTGTTAGGGGAACAGGAAAGAGGTTATTTAGATGTAGGAAAACATGAGCTACAATGAAAGATAAAAATATGTATAATTATTGAACTTGAAGCAAGAAGCCTAGATGGGAACTTAATAATCTTGAAGTACATGAAGGGAGACTCCATAGAAATGAAGATGCCTACTCTCCCTATATAGTCAGAATAGAACGAAACAAATAAGCCAACACAGCCTGTTTACGTATGCTACGAGTCAATCAGCAGACACTTCACCAATGAGTTAGGGGATCTGGAAAATCTTTATATACAAGTTAATATTTATATCACACTTACCATGTGCCAGACACTGTTCTAAGCCCCTTAAACAATAACCATTTAATGTTCTCAGCAATTCACTGATACATGTACTACTCCAATCACTATCACTATCAGTATCAGGCTGCGGCATGCATGCTCAAGATGGGATAGAATATATAGAAAGGAAGACAGATCCCAGTGTAGGCTATGATTCCTTCTCTTCTTTCCTGTGTTATTTGTTATGAAACAGAAAAATCAGGGTTATCAAGCTTGTATGTTGCAAGCTTATATTTTGCTTCCCTGGACCCATACAATGAAGTGTACTTTAATTAGTCAGAATGGTCAGAAAAGGATTATCTAGTTAACTGAACATTGGAGAATGTTGGGATATTCTGTTGCCAAGAATGTGTATTTTAAATAAATGTCCCAGATTATTCTGAAAGGCAATCTGATTTGTGAATCACCACTGTATGTCATATGCTAATGGATCCTCAATTTTTGAAGAATAAAAATGAAATATCACTGAAACTATGTTGAACATAAATTCATTTTAACTTTATGATTTGTGAGGTAAAACAGAATCTTACCTCATCTCTCATA